>NT_187634.1:0-284869 GCF_000001405.40 Homo sapiens | reverse complement strand
GAATTCACCGTTGTGTCTAAAGCATCTTCTTGGAGACTGTCCCTGCACGGCTGGACAGTCCACAACCCCTTAATGTTAGTCCATCCCTCTTGGGTTTCTGAGGGATTCATCAGGTCCTGTGATTTCTAGTCACAGACTCGTTTGTAAAGCATGACTTTCTCCTTAACTGCCTGCTGTTAGTCATACGACAATCACCTCCATGGGGTTGGTACGTGGGTTGTAAGCAGGTTGACCTCAGTAAGTTACAGCTGCTGTCTGTGGCATGTCCAGAGGTTTGCAGAGAGGAGTCCAGAGTGGATATCAAAGATCAGCCCCTATGCATGCAAAGAACCCCAGAAACAAGAAAATGCCCACACACAATTGTCAGTTCCAGAAAGACTCGGAGCTTGTCTTGCCAAGCAAGAGACAGCAGCAAAGCTTAGCACCTCTTGACACCGTAGGCTTTTAACCTAGTGAAATGGTACCAGCCTACAACCTCTTGGAGAAAAGACTATAAATGAGACAAAAACAGACTGGATCTTGATCCCTAATTTGTCTTTTATTATTATTATTATTATTATTATTCGCCGTTATAGTCCTTGTTCCTTTCCATGCTGGAAACACCTGTCAAGTTTTAAATCCGTTTGCGTTCAGCCACGTTCACAGGCTCCCCAGTGACAGTCTGCGAATTTCAGGGGTGGTGGTTGAGAAGCGAGGAGATACGGTAACAAGTGAACGTCCTGTTCACTCTCTTGTCTCAGATGTTTGAATGATTCCAGCTGTCAGTAGAAGCATTCAGCTAATGATGCCAGGAAAAGCATCTGAAATGTTGTTTAAATAACCGGAAAAAATCTATGCTGACCCACAGCCAATATCCATTTGCTGAAATTAAAGGAATTCGGAAATCAAACATCGTCAGGTAGGGGCAGCATGGGCTGGGATTTTGGAAACTCACCTGTAATCTTCTCTATAAACATGGGACTGCAATGCAGAGAGTGTGTGTGGTGATGTGTGCAGGACAGCCTCAGGCTCCTTGGGGCGGGCCGCCGGGCGGACGCTCCCTCTCCTCACATCCCGGGGTATTCCTTGGGGTTCTCATTAGGACACAAGAAAATGTTTGCCAGCGAGGTGAAAGGGTGGGCTCTCTTTCCAAACAAGGTAAGCGATCCTTCTGCAGCGTCTTTTGCTGTCTTGTTGCAAGAAACAAGAGGCAACCTGGGTTGGTAGGGACCAACCTTTGGGGAGTGTCTCAGGACTCTGGTTTGCACAGGGCAATGAGCAGGCAGGGGGGACAGGTGAGCAGCTCTCCTGAGAGGCTGCAAAGCTCTTCCAAAGAACGCAGGTGGAGAATGCAGGTGATGCCTCATTCAGGAGGAGAGCTAGACAACACATTTGCAAGACAAGGACTCCCAGGGTTGCCCCACAAACCAGCAGGAGCTGGGGAAGAGGCAGGTGCCTTTTGGTTGGATACGTGTCTCTGGTTCCTGGTTCCTGGCAGGTTGCTATCATGTGACGTTGGTCAAAGAGAGTCAGTTCCTCCTTTTGGAGGCATCTCCCTCGACGCCTCCAGGAGGAATCAACCCTTCCATTCATGTGCCCAGCATGAGCCCTTGAAGCAGAAAAATCCCCTGCTGATGGAGTCCTGGAAGTAAGTCCCAACGGAGACTCATCAGTGAGTAAGCAGTGCCTGTCAGGCCTCTGAGCCCAAGCTAAGCCATCATATCCCCTGTGACCTGCACGTATACATCCAGGTGGCCTGAAGCAATTGAAGACCCACAAAAGAAGTGAAAATAGCCAGTTCCTGTCTTAACTGATGACATTCCACCATTGTGATTTGTTCCTGCCCAACCCTAACTGATCAATTGACTTTGTGACAATACACCCTCCCCGCCCTTGTGATAATGTACTTTCTGATAGTCCCCCACCCTTGTGAATGTATTTTGTACAACACACCCTCCCCACCCTTGAGAAGGTACTTTGTAATATCCTCCCCCGCCCTTAAGAAGGTACTTTGTAAAATCATCCCCACCCTTGAGAAGGTACTTTGTAATATCCTCCCCTGCCCTTAAGAAGGTACTTTGTAATATCCACCCCCACCCTTGAGAAGGTACTTTGTAATATCCTCCCCCGCCCTTAAGAAGGTACTTTGTAAAATCATCCCCACCCTTGAGAAGGTACTTTGTAATATCCACCCCCACCCTTGAGAAGGTACTTTGTAATATCATCCCCACCCTTGAGAAGGTACTTTCTAATATCCACCCCCACCCTTGAGAAGGTACTTTGTAATATCCTCCCCCGCCCTTAAGAAGGTACTTTGTAAAATCATCCCCACCCTTGAGAAGGTACTTTGTAATATCCTCCCCTGCCCTTAAGAAGGTACTTTGTAATATCCACCCCCACCCTTGAGAAGGTACTTTGTAATATCCTCCCCCACCCTTAAGAAGGTACTTTGTAAAATCATCCCCACCCTTGAGAATGTCCTTTGTAATATCCACCCCCACCCTTGAGAAGGTACTTTGTAATATCCTCCCCCACCCTTAAGAAGGTACTTTGTAAAATCATCCCCACCCTTGAGAAGGTACTTTGTAATATCCACCCCCACCCTTGAGAAGGTACTTTGTAATATCCTCCCCACCCTTGAGAAGGTACTTTCTAATATCCACCCCCACCCTTGAGAAGGTACTTTGTAATATCCTCCCCTGCCCTTAAGAAGGTACTTTGTAATATCCACCCCCACCCTTGAGAAGGTACTTTGTAATATCCTCCCCCGCCCTTAAGAAGGTACTTTGTAATATCCTCCCCACCCTTGAGAAGGTACTTTGGAATATCCTCCCCTGCCCTTAAGAAGGTACTTTGTAAAATCATCCCCACCCTTGAGAATGTCCTTTGTAATATCCACCCCCACACTTGAGAAGGTACTTTGTAATATCCTCCCCTGCCCTTAAGAAGGTACTTTGTAAAATCATCCCCACCCTTGAGAAGGTACTTTGTAATATCCACCCCCACCCTTGAGAAGGTACTTTGTAATATCCACCCTGCCCTTAAGAAGGTACTTTGTAAAATCATCCCCACCCTTGAGAAGGTACTTTGTAATATCCTCCCCCACCCTTGAGAAGGTACTTTGTAATATCCACCCCCACCCTTAAGAAGGTACTTTGTAAAATCATCCCCACCCTTGAGAAGGTACTTTGTAATATCCACCCCCACCCTTGAGAAGGTACTTTGTAATATCCTCCCCACCCTTGAGAAGGTACTTTCTAATATCCACCCCCACCCTTGAGAAGGTACTTTGTAATATCCTCCCCCGCCCTTAAGAAGGTACTTTGTAATATCCTCCCCACCCTTGAGAAGGTACTTTGGAATATCCTCCCCTGCCCTTAAGAAGGTACTTTGTAAAATCATCCCCACCCTTGAGAATGTCCTTTGTAATATCCACCCCCACACTTGAGAAGGTACTTTGTAATATCCTCCCCCGCCCTTAAGAAGGTACTTTGTAAAATCATCCCCACCCTTGAGAAGGTACTTTGTAATATCCACCCCCACCCTTGAGAAGGTACTTTGTAATATCCACCCTGCCCTTAAGAAGGTACTTTGTAAAATCATCCCCACCCTTGAGAAGGTACTTTGTAATATCCTCCCCCACCCTTGAGAAGGTACTTTGTAATATCCTCCCCCACCCTTGAGAAGGTACTTTGTAATATCCTCCCCCGCCCTTAAGAAGGTACTTTCTAATATCCACCCCCACCCTTGAGAAGGTACTTTGTAATATCCTCCCCCGCCCTTAAGAAGGTACTTTGTAAAATCATCCCCACCCTTGAGAAGGTACTTTGTAATATCCTCCCCCGCCCTTAAGAAGGTACTTTGTAAAATCATCCCCACCCTTGAGAATGTCCTTTGTAAGATCCACTCCCTGCCCACAAAAAATTGCTCCTAACTCCACCACCTATCCCGAACCTATAAGAACTAATGATAATCCCACCACTCTTTGCTGACTCTCTTTTCAGAATCAGCCCACCTGCACCCAGGTGATTAAAAAGCTTTATTGCTCACACAGAGCCTGTTGGTGGTCTCTTCACACGGATGCCTATGACAGTGCCCAGGTGTCAGTCCAGATCCAAAGATCTGGAACCAGGAAGGCAGGCAACAGTGTGGAGTGGAGAGTCAGGAAAGAAATTATGAATGTTTGAGGCTGCTTGCTGTCAAATGGCAGATAAGGGGATGTGGTTCACTTCTCCAAAACTTCTACTGCAGGTCAGCAATGCACATAGAGCAAATTTATGGAATGATGCTGGTGACAGAAGTGGAAATCAATTTCAAAGAAAATGTATGAGTCAGCTGTTGCTGTGTAACAAGTGACCCCCAAACTTAGCAGCTTAAAACAACATGCATTTATTATCTTATGGTTTCACTGGGTTGGGAGTCTGGGAGCAGCTTGGCTGGGTGCCTCTGGTTCACAGTTCCTAGCAGGTTACTGTCACTGTGTCATCCAGGGCTGGGATCTCATTTGAAGGCTCAACTGGTGAAAGGCACACTTCTAAACTCACTCATGTTGGCCAAAGATGGCCAGTTCCGTATCATGTGGACCTTTTTACAGGAGAACTTACAGCATAAGAACTTGCTTTCCCTAGAGCAAGGGCAGAGACAGACAGAAACAGAGAGAGTATGAGAGACAGGGAGACTACAAGAGAGATTGAGAGAGGGAGATTGAGAGACACAGACTGAGAGAGAGAAGTTGCAAAAGAGAAATTGAGGGAGAGAAGCTGAGAAAGAGATTGAGCAAAAGAGATTGAGAATGAGACTGAGAGAGATTGAGATTGAGAGAGAGGGAGGTTGATAGAGAGATTGAGGGAAAAGTTGATAGAGAGAGAGAAGAGAGAGAGAGGAAACCAGGAATCCACTGGTACCATTTAGGAAATGAGAAACCATCAATTTTGTTATCACTTCTATTGCTTGTAACCAGTAGAAAGAATGAGCCAGTCTACTCAGGAGAGAGAGAGAGCAAGAGAGCAAAGAAGTGCCACACTTTAAAACCATCATCTCTTCTGAGAATTGACTCATTTATCATGAGAACAGCATGACAAAAACTGCCCCTGTGATCCAATCACCTTCCACAAGCTCCCTCCCTGGACACATGGGAATTACAATTTGAGATGAGATTTGGGTGGGGACACAGAGCCTAACCGTATTAATCATTAAATCAATGATAGGCCAGGTTTGGTGGCTCATGCCTGTAATCCCAGCACTTTGGGAGGCCGAGGTGGGCAGATTTCCTGTCATTTGACCTAGGACCCACCCTACTCCAGGATGATCTCATCCCTAGATCCTTCACTTAATAACATTTGCAAAATTGCTTTTCCCAAATAAAGTTGCATTTGAAACTTCCAGGTGGACATAGATTTGTGGGGGGACACTTGGAGATGGCTCCAACTCCCATCCCTGCTGATTGGCAAGCAAGGCTTGTCCAAGACTCTGAGATCACAGATGATCAGACGTGTGATTTTTAGTTTTCCTACTCCTGCACTAGGAGAGATTATAGAGGGATGAAGAAGGAAGGTCAATGCTACTCCAACACCCCAGTTCTCTCTGCCTGTTCACCAGCCTTGTTTTACACCAGAGAAAAGAGGTGTAAGAGTTGACTCATTTATCTTGAGAACAGTATGGGGGAAACTGCCCCTGTGATCTGTCTCTCTGTCTCTGTCTCTCTCTGCAGTTCTTCTCTTCACTCAAGAGAAGAAGATGATCCAAGCATGAGATTACCAGGAAACGAGGACTATTGGGAGCTCTTCCAACATGGCTGCCTACCGCAAGAAGCCAGCTCGCTCCAACTGCTGCCAAGTCTACTGAAACCTGCCGGGAGTGAAGTCAGAGTCTGGCTGGGGTGTGTGGAAGCAGTCATTGGCCTCACCTCGTTAGACCCCGTGGATGTATGTGTCAAGACACACTTTGTGGATTTCCTCTGTTGTTGGGCCTGTCCAACCCTGTGCTGTAGCTGGAGCAGGTTGCTGAAGCTTGATATTAGAGAAGTGAAGGTGAGTTTTGTCCCCAGGGAGGCTTTCATCACCTCCAAGTCCCCAAGGAACCAAGGTACCTTCCAATCAAATCAAGGAGCATAGAATGTGTCTCAAACAACCTAACCCTACACAAGAGATGTATCATCATCATGGTTGTTTGCAGTAGCTGTCTTATACCCAGCATTGGCCATGGGCCAGCAATTGTGGTAAGCTCTTCCCTACAGTATTTAATCATTAGGTTATAATTTTTTTTTTTATGGAGTCTTGCTCTGTCACCCAGGCTGGAGCGCAGTGGCGTGATCTCAGCTCAGTGCAATCTCCACCTCCTGGGTTCAAGCGATTCTTCTGCCTCAGCCTCCCGAGTAGCTGGGATTACAGGCACCTGCCACCAGGTGAATTTCCTATTTTTAGTAGAGATGGGGTTTCACCACGTTGGCAGGCTGGTCTTGAACTCCTGATGTCAGGTGATCTGCTCACCTCGAGCTCCCAAAGTGCTGGGATGACAGGCGTGAGCCACTATGCCCGGCCAATGAATACACTTTTAAAACAATCACAAGTAGAGATTTTCTACCTTAGTTTTCCAAATATATGATATGTCCTCATAATTTTGTAGTCTCACATTAAAAAAAAAAAAAGTTGTATGGATGGGTACGGTGGTGACTCCCATCTGTGGTCCCAGCATTTTCGGAGGCTAAGGCTGGAGGATTGCTTGAGCCCATGAGTTTGAGACCAGCCCGGGCCACCTAGCTAGACACCCCCATCTCTACAAAAAATAAAAATAAATTTAAAAATCATTGTCATTTGCTTTGCTTCCATTTATTATGTGTATTTCACAATCTGCCTTCTTTTTCTTCAAAGCAGGTTTGTCGGGCTATAACTGACATATCGTACAATGCATCTATTTAAGGCACTCAGAGTCACTTTTAGGATATCTTTATCACCCCCCAAGGAAGCTGACTTGCCATCTTCAGATCCCTCCCTCCGTAGTTATCCCATCCTTGTTCCCCCAGTCCTAAGCAACTACTGATCCACCCTCTGCCCCAGTAGATTTTCCTATTCTGGACATGTGATTCGAATGGAATTGTACAATCTGTGGTCTCACTTTGCTCCTTTAATTTTGGAGAACACACACACATACCCCAGTCATGAAGATCAGCACCCCGGCACGTACAATCTGGCCTTATTCTATCATCTTCCAGAAAGCGCTGGCGATCAATTAAAAAGGCAGAACTGCAGAAACAGGGGTCTTACGTTGTGCCCTGGAGGTGACGGAACTGGATCTCTGTCAGATCCGGAGAAAATTTGCAGAGACCAACCACAGGCCACCCCGCCGCCTCCAGCATTTAGGTTTTTAGAATTGGCCTTTCTATACACCTTCGTTCCTTTTAATTTTGTCATTTTACCCTTTCTGAATATTCTTCGTGGCACCTTTTAGAGGATAATACAGTCTCCCCCGTCAACGAAAAGGCAGGGATGCTATATAATGTCATTCTTGGAAACAGGTCGTTTCTGTCCTTGTACGGTGCAGAGATGACAACACGATTTTTCTGTAATTCCGGTACGTTTTTTGACCTGTATTCCCCTGGGACTTGCAGATGTGGCTGGCTGCATGAGTTTACAATTCCGATGAGATCTCCACGAGCCATAATTTCCGGGGAATATCAGGTCCACTGAGGGTGATTAACTAGTTTCCGCTTGGACAACTGGGTCACTGGAGAAGCTGAAAATGGGCTCTCAGGTTTGGGGGGCAGCAAGGGAGACACAGGGACACAAGTGTTCAATTCAATTGCTATAGATCCACTCCTTCCATCCTGCAAAAGCTTGGACGTTTTGGTTTTCCGGAACATTCCGGTCATTCTCTCTTAAGAAAATGAAGCAACTTCATCTTGGCCTCGCGGGACAGGTGTCTGAGAGGAGGAAAGAAACAACTGCCTGTCTCGGGAAAATCATCTCAATTTCTCTGTTCTTGAAATCATCTTCCTCCTGCAAGAAAGATATCTCTGGTCTTACCACCTCCAAAGACATGAGACAACTTTTCTGGTTGAAAGAGGAGAGAAATTCTCTGTATTTCATGCTTTCTCAGCCCCTGAAGAGCCACTAAAACTGGGAAGATCAAGAATACAAATAGAATTTAAAAAATAAAGAGGATGGACCGGGGGCGGTGGCTCAAACCTGTCATCCCAGCACGTTGGGAGGCCGAGGCGGGCGGGTCACCTGAGGCTAGCAGTTCGAGACCAGCATGGCCAACATGGTGAAACCCTGTCTCTACTAAAAATACAAAAAAAAAAAAAAAAATTAGCTTGGTGTGGTCGCTCATGACTATAATCCTAGCTACTCAGGAGGCTGAGGCAGGAGAATTGCTTGAACCTGGAAGGCGGAGGTTGCAGTGAGCCAAGATTGCACCACTGCACTCCAGCCTGGGCGACAGAACGAGACTCTGTCTCCAATAAATAAATAAATAAATAGGAGCAGATATAAAGATAGCCAACCAGCAGCCCTAAGGGGTACTCTGCCTCTGGAGTAGCCATTCTTTTATTACTTCACTTTCTTAAAAAACTTGCTTTCACTTAAAAAGAAGGAAGAAAGAAAAGAGAGAAAGAAAGAAAGAAAGAAAGAAAGAAAGAAAGAAAGAAAGAAGAAAGAAAAGAAAGAAAAAGAGAGAAAGAAAGAAAGAAAGAAAGAGAGAAAGAAAGAAAGAAAGAAAGAAAGAAAGAAAGAAAGAAAAAGAAAGAAAGATGGAAGGAAGGAAGGAAGGGAAGGAGGGAGGGAGGGAGAGAGAGAGAGAAAGAAAGAAAAGAGAGAAAGAAAAAAGAAAGAAAGAAAGAAGGAAGGAAAGAAGAAAGAGAGAGAAAGAAAGAAAGGAAAAGAAAGAAAGGAAAAGAAAGAAAGAAAGAAAAAGAAAGAAAGAAAGAAAGAAAGAAAGAAAGAAAGAAAGAAAGAAAGAAAGAAAGAAAGAAAGAAAGAAAGAAAGGGGATCCACATGTTATAACAAACCAGCCAAATCTTACACTAAAATCCAGGCTCCTTCAACCAAAGGACTGCCAGGGATGAAGATCAATTTACAAAAGTCACCTCCAAACATTAGCCTCCATATTCTAAGCAATCTTATCTTTCAATATCACCTCAGCACCTGTTTTGTTTGGTTTGGTTTTTTGTGTAAATTGGGAAACAAAATAGCTTTGCTTTGTGTTTTAGCTGTTGTCATTATTTCCACATAAAATGTCACCCATCAAGACCCATGCATTTCTTTTCTTTTTGTTTGAGATGGAGTCTTGCTCTGTCATCCAGGCTGGAGTGCAGTGGTGCAATCTCAGCTCACTGCAACCTCCGCCTCCTGGGTTCAAGCGATTATCCTGCCTCAGCCTCCTGAGTATGTGGGATTACAGGTGCGCACCACTACGCTCAGCTAATTTTTGTATTGTTAGTAGAGACGGGGGTTTCACCATGTTGGCCAGGCTGGTCTCGAACTCCTGACCTCAGGCGATCCCCCTGCCTGGGCCTCCCAAAGTGCTGGGATTACAGGCGTGAGCCACCATGCCTGGCTAATGTTTGTACTTTCAATAGAGATGGAGTTTCACCATGTTGACCAGGCTGGTCTCGAACCCCTGACCTCAGTTGATCCGCCCCACGTCAGCCTCCCAAAGTGCTGGAATGACAGATGTGAGCCACCAAGCCTGGCTACTGTTTGTATTTTTAGTAGAGACGGGGTTTCACCATGTTGGCCAGGCTGGTCTCGAACTCCTGACCTCAGGTGATCCTCCCGCCTTGACCTCCCAAAGTGCTGGGATTACAGGCGTGAGCCACCGTGCCTGGCTAATTTTTGTATTTTTAGTAGAGCGGGGTTTCACTATGTTGGCCAGGCTGGTCTCAAACTCCTGACCTCAGTTGATCCGCCCGCCTCGGCCTCCCAAAGTGCTGGAATGAGAGACGTGAGCCACTGTTTCTTTCCTATGGCAACGATTTTCTTGGGACTCCCCTACTCAATAACTACAACCTCTACCTCTCCCTCGTCCTGGCTGCAGCCTGAAAAACGTGCATCCTTTGCAAGTCTTGGGAGGGGATAGTTTTATGTCCATCTATGCGTGTTGCCTGTGTGTGTAGACACAACCAGACTCCGTGCAGAGAAAAAGCTGCACCGTCCGGCTGCCAAACAAAAGGTCCCAAGTAAATAAATAAAAAATAAAACTTGTGAAAAAATCATCCTTGTCCACGTAGTTTTCCTAGGCCGGCTACAGCTGGGGGGCATGTTACCACGGCAACTGTGTTCACGAGCCGGGCTGTTTCTGCAGCCAGGGGTCTCGGGTGGACCAGCGAGCCTGTATTCTGCGTCTCCTGAAATGTGTCAGAAAACATCAGGAGGGGAAGGCCGGTGGTTGCGGATTGCCATAAATTTATAGCTAATCAGGTCCTTAGCGGCAGGCCTAATGGTAGGAAGGGGTGCAAGGCATGTGATTGGAGGTGGGCAGGGGTGGGAGGTGGGTCAGCGACCTGTACTTGGAGGGCAGAGCAGGATGCTGAGAATCCCAGAGACAGGGAAGGTGTATGGAGCTTTCAGCATTTTTACAGGCCACTCGAATGGGCCTTCCTCGCAGCCCCCTGCGTTCCCTTTGCCAGATGCATTGGATTGCATCACTGACAGAGATACACAGACGGTGCACCCGTGGCTGCTCTGTGGAACTAAAACAATTTCTGCCCTGGATCTCCTGGGTTTGGGTGACACTTTCAACTCAGAGCCAGCTGACCTACCTAACACGGTGCGTCTTCTCCTACAGCACCGGTGGATGCTTGGACGGCAAAATCATCTGTTCCAATCTGCAGAGGAAGACGAGTTATGTCCAGAAGGGTTGGGGCTGGAAATTTAAAAGCAAGAAAGTGGGCTCCTCCTTTTAAATAATCTCCTCCCATAGAAATGACATAATAAAATAAAATAGTAGGTTGCAAAGGCATCTGTTTAAGTAACGAAGGAAACCTTTCCCTGATATTCATTTTGAGTAATTCCCATGGAGTTTAGCAGTTTTGTTATTTTAAAACACACACACACACACACACACACACAGTGCAATTAAAAACATAATTTGTAGAACACAGTCTTTTCTGATATACTTGCTTTTCAGTATCATGGAGGGTTGGGGCTAGAAATTTCGTACGAAAAACGTGAGCTCCTCCTTTTAAATAATCTCCTCCCATAGAAATGACATAATAAAATAAAATAGTAGGTTGCAAAGGTACCTATTTAAGTATCGAAGGAAACCCTTCCCCGATATTCATTTTGACTAATTCCCATGGAGTTTAGCAGTTTTGTTATTTTAAAACACACACGCACACTGCAATTAAAAATATAATTTGTAGAAGACAGTCTTTTGTGATATACTTGCTTTTCAATATCACGAAGGTTTGGGGCTAGAAATTTAGGAGAGAAAACCTGGGGCCCCTTTTCTTCTTTTAAATAATCTCTTCCCATAGAAATGACATAATAAAATAAAATAGTAGGTTGCAAAGGCATCTGTTTAAGTAACGAAGGAAACCTTTCCCTGATATTCATTTTGAGTAATTCCCATGGAGTTTAGCAGTTTTGTTATTTTAAAACACACACACAGCCCCCACCGAGTACCATTAAAAAGAGTATTTGTACAACTGTGTTTTCTGATGCGCTGTTTCTGACTACAACAAAACAATGTATCAAAATACCCAAGCGATGTTTCAAACAGGGTGTACTGCACGTGAAATGCTTTCTCTCCAGCAAGAAACAGCCAGGAGGTGTCTTTGGGGTCCTGAGAGAAAGATGAAGATGTGGATCCTATTTAGAGAAGGCTGTCTTTCTGGTTTTTCAACACACGCCGAAGCTTGGGAGTTTGCGGTGGGGGTTAAGAAGCCGGTTCCAGGGTTTGTTATGGCTCATGACTTTTCTTTCAGCAAAGTTCCTCCAGGAAACGTCGCCTGCCTTTTCAGTTGATTTTGATTGTACGTGAAATGTCTACGGCTTGAGGATCCGTAATCTTGACGCTTTGGTGACCGATTCAAACAGTTGTCACCTGTAAACGGTCAAGGAGGTGAGGCCGGGCGCGGTGGCTCACGCCTGTAATCCCAGCCCTTTGGGAGACTGAGGCAGGCGGATCACGAGGTCAGGAGTTCAAGACCAACCTGGCCAACAGGGTGAAACCCCGTTTCTAGTAAAAATACAAAAATTAGCCAGGCGTGGTGGCGGGCACCTGTAATCCCACCTACTAGGGAGGCTGAGGCAGGAGAATCGCTTGAACCCGGGAGGCAGAGGTTGTGGTGAGCCGAGATCGTGCCACTGCACTCCGGCCTGGGCGACAGAGTGAGAGTCCGTCTCAAAAAAAAAAAAAAAAAAAAGTCCAGGAGCTGGACAGAAACGCAGACGACCAGGGCTTTCCGGCGTGTAAAGGTGACAGGAGTCAAAGGCAACGAGGATTCTACGCAGCCAGTCTCTCCGGTCGTCTGACGCAGGCTAATCTGTGCGCGTGGCAGCTTGGCGTCCACGTCTGAGTTTATTTTTATTATTCATTTATTTATTATTTATTTATTTATTTATTTATTTATTTATTTATTTATTTAAGATGGAGTCTTGCTCTGTCGCCCAGGCTGGAGTGCAGTGGCGCGATCTGGGCTCACTGCAAGCTCCACCTCCCGGGTTCGCACCATCCTCCTGCCTCAGCCTCCCGAGTAGCTGGCACTACAGGCGCCCGCCACCACGCCCGGCTAATTTTTTGTATTTTTAGTAGAGACGGGGTTGCACCGTGTTAGCCAGGATGGTCTCGATCTCCTGACCTCGTGACCCGCCCGCCTCAGCCTCCCAAAGTGCTGGGATGACAGGCGTGAGCCACCGCGCCCGGCCCCACGTCTGACTTTTACAGCAAAAAGCCATTGCTCAGACCCCTGAGGCTTGGATGATCACCTAAGGAAAGTTCTCACAGATTTTTATGTGCATAAGATACAGCAGGGCCAGGCACAGTGGCTCACACCTGTCATCCCAGCACGTTGGGAGGCCGAGGCGGGCGGATCATCTGAGGTCAGGAGTTCGAGACCAGCCTGGCCAACATGGCGAAATCCCATCTCTACTAAAAACACAAAACAATTAGCTGGACATGGTGGCACGCACCTGTAATCCCAGCTACTCGGGAGGCTGAGGCAGGGGAATTCCTTGAACCATGGAGGTGGAAGTTGCAGTGAACCAAGATTGCACCATTGTCCTCCAGCCTGGGCAACAGAGCAGGACTCCACCTCAAAAAAAAAAAAAAAAAAAAAAAGAGCAGGAGACAGAACAGCATCCTACATTTCTCTAACCAAGCACAGAAACATGTTAATCTCAATCACTGATAGTGAGGAAAACAAATCATCCTGCGTAGCAGGTGGAATAATATCTCCCCCACACAAATAATTTCATCTGGAACCCAGGACGGGTGACTTATTTGGAACTACGGTCTCTGCAGATATAGTTAGTTATAATGAGGTCATCCTGGTACTCCATTTAGGGCTGGGCCCTAAATACAATGACAGGTGTCCCTGTAAGAGACAGAAGAGGAGACGCAGACACAGAGGAGAAGGCCACGTGGAGATGGAGGCAGAGACTGGAGTGATGCGGCCACAAGCCCAGGGACACCTGGAGCCCCCAGGAGCTGGGAGAGGCAGGAAGGAGCCTCCCCTAGAGCTTCTGATGGGAGGAAGGTCCTCAGACAGCTGGATCACAGACTGCTGTTCTCCACAGCTGGGAGAGGATGAATCTCTGCTGTTTTGACCTTCCCACTCTGAGGTCATGGTCTTTTGTTCTGACAGCCTCAGGAACTCACACAATCTTCTCTCCACCATGGTTCTGAAGACAAACCATATCCCTGCCATTTCTTGCTTTTTCTTTTCTTTCTTTCTTTTTTTTTTTTTTTTTTTGAGACACAGTCTCACTCTGTCACCCAGGCTGGAGTGCAGTGGCACAATCTCAGCTCACTGCACCCTCCACCCCCTGGGTTCAAGCGATTCTCCTGCCTCAACCTCCCAAGTAGCTGGGATTACAGGCATGCGCCACCATGCCCGGCTAATTTTCGTATTTTTAATAGAGACGGGGTTTCACCGTGTTGGCCAGGCTGGTCTCGAACTGCTGACTTCGGGTGATCCACCCACTTCAGGCTCCCAACGTGCTGGGATGACAGGCATGAGCCACTGCACCCGGCCAGGCTGTTTGGACTCAGGTGTTTTTTGCACTTTAGCACGCGTTGGAGGCTTAGGGGAAGGAGAGGGAGAAGTCTAAAGACATAGTCTCACCCGTGCTCCAGCAATGAAAACGTCGCTACAGAGGTAGCAAAAAAATAAAAATAAATCAGAAAAAAACAGAAGTAGGAGGTGAGAGTCTCACTCTGAATGAATCTATCTCAACAAAAATGCCCTCAATTTTGAGCAGGAAGATTGTTTATTTTATTTTATTTATTTATTTACTTATATTTTTGAGACAGAGTCTCACTCTGTCACCCAGGCTGGAGTGCAGTGACACGATCTCGGCTCACTGCAACCTCCGCCTCCTGGGTTCAAGTGATTCTCCTGCCTCAGCCTCCTGTGTAGCTGGGATTACAGGCATCTGCCACCACATCCAGCCAATTTGTGTGTTTTTAGTAGACGGGAGTTTCACTAAGTTGGCCAGACTGGTCTTGAACTCCTAACCTCAGGTGATCGACCCGCCTCAGCCTCCCAAAGTGCTGGGTTGACAGGCGTGAGCCACTGTGCCCAGGCATCGTTTATTTTACTGTATAAAGTCAGTTTCGTTTTGTTTTATCTTATGTGTGATTTTATTTTTTGTTTAAAATAAATACACTTTAAAAATCTATTTGTATTTGACTCAGCGGCTTGCAGTCTCTGAGGCTGCATTTTTGAAACATGAACTACAGAACCAACGAATGGTAAGACCGAATACAAAAAAGCTCAGACCCAGATGAAGGAAGTGGCTTATAACCTCAGCAAAAATCCTGCCAACATGTTGCTAATTCCACATTTTTTCACAATTATTCTTCAGGGGTGGCGGGAGGCTGGTAACCTGTTTTGCCTTTTGCTGATGGGGCAGTGGAGGCTAATATTCAAAGGCAAATGCATAGATTCCTGGCTGGGCGCGGTGGCTCACGCCTGTCATCCCAGCACTTTGGGAGGCCAAGGCAGGCGGATCACCTGAGGTCAGGAGTTCGAGACCAGCCTGGCCAACATGGCGAAAACCCATCTCTGCTAAAAATACAAAAATTAACCGGGCATCATGGCGGGTGCCTGTCCTCCCAGCTACTTGGGAGGCTGAGGCCGGAGAATCGCTTGAACCTGGGAAGCGGAGGTTGCAGTGAACCGAGATGGCACCATTGTTGCCCAGATTAGAAAAAATACATTTTGGAGAGCATAGCTAGGTAAGATTGTCCACGCCAGGTGTTAGCTTTGTCATTTTACTGCAAACTGCAAGTAAACTTTCACACGCTGCCCGAGGTCCCACATATATGACAAGAGGTGTTCCTTTGTCTTATAGGCATGGATCTTATTAAGTACAGTTTTTTGGTTTTTTTTTTTTTTTTTGGTTTTTTTTTTTTTTAAGAAGAAAATGCATTTGGTTCTCTACGTATTCTTAATGTCAGAGAAAATTGTATCTGGGGCACAGTGGCCTGGAAAATCCATAAATCAGCATTCCAAAACAGGGTCATGTCCTGCCTTGGACATGGAACAGAAATCAAAACAGACAGGGTCCACCTCTGCAGGGCGGGTATACCTTCCCCAGTTACAGGCCCCTGAGCGCCCCGTCTTAATAGCCGGAGACAGGGATGGAGGAGGGAGGTGGGGAGGAGCTGGGGCGCCCGGTGCAGGGCAGAGTGTCAGCCCTGCAATTACTGTGGACTCCAGAATCCCCCTCGGAGGGAGCACGGATGACTCATTCTCCCTGCAAGGCAAAGACCTTCCTATTATCACCGAGACCTTGCAAAGCTCAAGGGGGCAGACGGCATGTTCCTGCTAGGGAGGGGTGCACAGAGGGGCCTGGGAGAACTCAAAGCCGGGGGCAGAACGATGGGCGTGTGGGAAGCAGGTCTCCGGGAGCACCTGCCCCTCATTGGGGTTTGCAGCTCAGCCTCCTGGCAGGTGCCACAGGTGGCCCAGGTGGGGGCCGGCGTGAGGAGAGCAGGCCCACAGGGAGGGCAACAGCAGAGGCATCTGGCTTACCTTGCGCTGCGCTGGATCCCAAGAGGGGCTGCGAAGTGTCTCTGGGGAAGGAGAAACACAGCTTGATGTTTTCTCAGCATAAAAAGGCGTCATGTCTTTATTACGGTGGGATGGGGGTGAGGGGGACCTGTTTTCCTGAGTCCCTCTCCACCCTCTGCCCCCCTCTTCCCTTTTCTCCCTCCTCCACCTTCTTCTCCTCCTCCTCTTCCTCCTCCTCCTTCCCCTCCTCCTCCCCCTTCTCCACCTCTCCCTCTTTCTCTTCCGCTTCCTTCTCCTCCTCTCATCTTTTCCTCCTCCCCTCTTCCCCCTTCTCTTGTTCCTCCTTCTCCCTCTCCTCTTCCTGTTCTTTCTCCTCCCCTCTCTCCTCCCCCTCCTTTTCTTTCGCTTCTTCCTCCTCTACCTTCTCCAACCTCTTCCTTCCCCTCCTCCCCCTCCTCCTCTTTCTCTTCCTCCTTCTCCTCTCCAGCCTCTTCCTCCTCTCCCTCCTCCTCTTTCTCTTCCTCCTCCTTCCCCTCATCCTCTCCCCTCTCCTCTTCCTCTTTCTCTTCTTCCTCCTCCATCTTCTCCAGCCTCTTCTTTCCCCTCCTCTTCCTTTTCTTCTTTCTCTTCCTCCTCCTCCAGGCTCTTCCTCCTCTCCCTTCTCCTCTTTCTCTTCCTCCTCCTCCTCTCCCTCCTCCTCCCCCTCCTCCTCTCCCTTCTCCTCTTTCTCTTCCTCCTCCTCTCCCTCCTCCTCTCCCTCCTCCTCTTTCTCTTCCTCCTCCTCCTCTCCCTGCTTCTCCCCCTCCTCCTCTTTCTCTTCCTCCTCCTTCCCCTCCTCCTCTCTTTCCTCCTCTCCCTCCTCCTCCCCTTTTTCCTCCTCTTCTTCCTGTTTCTCTTCTTCCTCCTCCACCTTCTCCAACCTCCTCCTTCCCCACTCTTCCTGCTTCTACTTCTCTCCCTCCCCCTTCCCCTCCTCCTCTCCCTCCTCCTTTTTCTCTTTCTCCTTTTCCTCCTCCTCCAGCCTCCTCCTCTTCCTCCCTCTCCTCCTCTTTCTCTCCCTCCCCCTTCCCCTCCTCCTCTCCCTCCTCCTTTTTCTCTTTCTCCTTTTCCTCCTCCTCCAGCCTCCTCCTCTTCCTCCCTCTCCTCCTCTTTCTCTCCCTCCTCCTTCCCCTCCTCCTCTCCCTCCTCCTTTTTCTCTTTCTCCTTTTTCTCCTCCTCCAGCCTCCTCCTCTTCCTCCCTCTCCTCCTCTTTCTCCTCCTTCCCCTCCTCCTCTTCTTCCTCCTCCCCCTCCTTCTTTTTCTCTTCCTCATCCTTCTCTTTCTCCTCCTCCAACCACTCCCTCCTCCTCCTCTGTCTCCCTCCTCCTCCACCTCCTCCTCTTTCTCTTCCTCCTCCTTCTCCTCCTCCAGCCTCCTCCTCCTCTTGTTTCTCCTCTTTCTCCCTCTATCTTTAATTTTTTTTTTTTTTTTGACACTGAGTCTCACTCTATCGCCCAGGCTGGAGTGCAGTGACCTCGGCTCTCTACAACCACCGCCTCCCAGGTTCAACAATTCTGCCTCAGCCCCCCGAGTAGCTGGGATGACAGGCACCTGTCACCACGCCTGACTAATTTTTGTATTTCTTTAGTAGAGACGGGGTTTCACCATGTTGGTCAGGCTGGTCTCGAACTCCTGACCTCAGATGATCCACCCACCTCGGTCCCCCAAAGTGCTGGGATTACAGGCACCTGCCACCACGCCTGGCTAATTTTTGTATTTTTAGTAGAGATGGGGTTTCACCGTGTTGGTCAGGCTGGTCTCGAACTCCTGACCTCAGGTGATCCACCCACCTCGGCCCCCCAAAGTGCTGGGATTACAGGCGTGAGCCACCACTCCCGGCCTTCTTTAAACTTCTTTATGAAGACCCAGAATGCAAGTTTATGCGTGATCTATACACACATATTTTATCTGGCACATGTATCTCTTTGATGGCCAGGACACAGCATGCTAGTGTGAACCATACTCCACACAGGATGACGGCTTCCTCACTGTAACATCATCTGCCAGCCAGAGCCCTGAAGCCATCGAGGATTTGGGTGGAAATTAGCTCCTGAAGGATCAAGAAGGTACTTTCTCCTAGAGGCAGGAAATTTAGGCAATTAAAATCCATTTTTGGCCGGGCGCGGTGGCCTCATGCCTGTAATCCCAGCACTTTGGGAGGCCGAGGTGGGCGGATCACGAGGTCAGGAGTTCAAGACCAGCCTGGCCAATGTGGTGAAACCCCGTCTCTACTAAAAATACAAAAATTAGCCGGGTGTAGTGGCAGGTGCCTGTAGTCCCAGCTACTCGGGAGGCTGAGGCAGGAGACTCACTTGAACCTGGGAGGTGGAGGTTCTTGAGGTCAGGAGTTCAAGACCAGCCTGGCCAACATGGTGAAACCCCAACTCTACTAAAAATACAAAAAATTAGCCGGGCGTGGTGGCGGGCACCTGTAGTCCCAGCTACTTGGGAGGCTGAGGCAGGAGAATGGTGTGAACCCAGGAGGCGGATCTTGCAGTGAGCCGAGATCGCACCACTGCATTCCAGCCTGGGTGACAGAGCGAGACTCCATCTCAAAAAAAAAAAAAAAAAAAAAAAGAGAGAGAGAGAGAGAGATACTTCTGAACAAAAACACCCACATCCCTACCTTCTTGAGCTCACTTTCTGGGCTGCGCCTTCAGTCAAATTTTGAGCAATTATTACTTGCATTCTGCAGTGTGTCAAAAACTAAATTTCAGTGTGGGATCGGTGGGATGAGTCACTCTGAGGAGTGGAGACGTTCCCATTTTATTTTATGTTATGTTATTTTTATTTAATTAATTTATTTATTTTTTGAAATGGAGTCTTGCTCTGTCACCCAGCCTGGGCAACATCTCGGCTCACTGCAACCTCTGCCTCCAGGTTCACGCCATTCTCCTGCCTCAGCCTCCCGAGTAGCTGGGACTACAGGCACCTGCCACCACTCCCAGATAATTTTTGTACTTTTAGTAGAGACGGGGTTTCACCCTGTTGGCCAGGCTGGTCTCGAACTCCTGACCTCATGATCCACCCGCCTCGGCCTCCCAAAGTGCTGGGATGACAGCCTTGAGCCACTGCACTGGCCTTATTTTTTATTTTTATTTTTATAAGAGTCAGGGTCTCGCTCTGTCGCTCAGGGTGGAGTGCAGTGGGATGATCATAGCTCACTACATCTGGTTTCAGTAGCATGCAGGGAAATCTTCAAATAACGCAAGTCACCAAACAGCCTTGGTCTGCTCCACCCAGAGATCTGTCTTCAGACAGGTTCAATGATCATCTCTAGCCAATAGCCATAATGTGTATGAAAAATCAATGCCTCGATTCCAGACGTGCAGAAAATGACCTCTCATGTCAAACATTACTCATTGTCTCTTTCCAGCTTGCTGTATGACCTCAGTGCTGGGTGGGTTTCCTCTCTGCTGTCTGATGACTCTCTGATGACTCTGTCTCTCTCTCTGTCTCTCTCTGTGTGTGTGTATTTATATATATATATAAACATATATATATATAAACATATATATATATTCCATTGCACATGCTGCAAAAGTTTTGTGTACATGCTTTTCCTCTGCTATTTAATGACCCCAAATCTCTCTCCTTCTTTCTCTCCCTTCCGTCACCCATTTCTCTCTCACCTATCTGTCATCTATTATCTATCTATCTATCCATCATTTATCTATCCATCTATCTACCCATCTGTCATTCATCTATTCATTTACTATTTATTGATCTATCTATTATTTATTTATCTATCTTTTATCTATCCATCGATCATTTATCTATCTGCCCAACTATCAGTTATCTGTCCATCTATTATTTATCTATTTATCTATCTATCCATCTAAATACCCATCTATCATTTATCTATCTTTCTATCCATCTATTATGTGTCTATCCATCATTTATCTATTCATCTATCATTTATCTATCCATCTATCAATCATTTATATGTTCATCTATCATTTATCTACCTATCATTTATATATCTATCTACCCATCTATCTATCCATCTATCATTTATCTATCTATCCATCAATCATCTATCTATCCATCTATCATTTATCTATCCACCAATCATTATCTATCTATCCGTCAATCATTATCTATCCATGTATCATTTATCCATCTATCCATCAATTATCTATCTATCCATCTATCATCTATTTATCCATCTATCATTTATCTATCCATCTATCATTTATCTATCCATCATTCATTATCTATCCATCTATCATTTATCCATCTATCCATCAATCATCTATCTATCCGTCTATCATCTATTTATCCATCTATCATTTATCTATCCATCTACCATTTATCTATCTATCCATCAATCATTATCTATATATCCATCAATCATTATCTATCCATCTATCATTTATCCATCTATCCATCAATCATCTATCTATCCGTCTATCATCTATTTATCCATCTATCATTTATCTATCCATCTACCATTTATCTATCTATCCATCAATCATTATCTATATATCCATCAATCATTATCTATCCATCTATCATTTATCCATCTATCCATCTATCATCTATCTATCCATCTATCATCTATTTATCCATCTATCATTTATCCATCTATCCATCAATCATCTATCTATCCATCTATCATCTATTTATCCATCTATCATTTATCTATCCATCATTTATCTATCCATCAATCATTATCTATATATCCATCAATCATTATCTATCCATCTATCATTTATCCATCTATCCATCAATCATCTATCTATCCATCTATCATCTATTTATCCCTCTATCATTTATCTATCCATCTATCATTTATCTATGTATCCATCAATCATCTATCTATCTATCCATCTATCATTAATCTATCTATCTAATAGGGTTTGGATCTGTGTCCCTGCCCAAATCGCATGCTGAATTGTAATCCCCAATGTTGGAGGTGGGGCCTGGTGAGAGGTGATTGGATCGTGGGGGTGGGCCCCTCAGGAGTGGTTTAGGCCTGGGGAGAGGTGATTGGATCGTGGGGGTGGGCCCCTCAAGAGTGGTTTAGGACCATCCCTTTGGCGCTGTTCTTCTGCTAGAGTTCTCACGCGATCTGGTTGATTACAAGTGTGTGGCACCTCCCCCGCCTCTCCTCTTACTCCAGCAATGTAAGACGTACCTGTTTCCCCTTTGCCTATAAGTTTCCTGAGGCCTCCTCAGAAGCCCAAGCCACTGGGCTTCTTGTACAGCCTGCAGAACCATGAGCCAATTCAACCTCTTTTCTTTATAAATTACCCAGGCTCAGGTATTGCTTTATAGCAATGCAAGAACAAATTGATATTCTATCTATCTGTCTATCTATCTATCTATCTATCTATCTATCTATCTATCTATCTATCATCTATCTAGCTATCTATATATGTCTATATATCTATCTATCATCTATCTATCATCTATCTATCTACCTATCATCTATCTAGCTATCTATCTATATATCTGTCTATATATCTATCTATTCTCTGTCTATCATCTATCTATCTATCATCTATCTAGCTATCTATCTATATATCTGTCTATATATCTATCATCTATCTATCTATCTATCATCTATCTAGCTATCTATCTATATATCTGTCTATATATCTATCTATCATCTGTCTATCATCTAGCTATTTGCCTATCTATCTATCATCTATCTAGCTATCTAGCTATCTATCATCTATCTAGCTATCTATATATCTGTCTATATATCTATCTATCATCTATCTGTCTATCATCTATCTGTCTACCATCTATCTATCTGCCTATCTATCTATCATCTATCTAGCTATCTATCATCTACCTATTATCTACCTATCATCTATCATCTACCTATTTAATCTATCATCTATCTATTATCTATCAATCATCTATTATCTACCTACCTATGATCTGTTTATCTACCTATCTATCTATTATCCATCAATCATCTATTATCTATCTACCTATTAGCTATCTATTTATCTACGTCTATGTACCTCATCTATCTATCCGTTATCTATCTCTATCTCTTTGTCTCTCTATCTAGCATTTATCTCTCTATCTCCTGTCTATCCATCATCTATCATCTATCTGCCTATCTATCTACATACTACCTATGTCTATCGTCTATCTCTGCATGTATACACACTGTAATGTGTATGGCTCTTTTATCCATGTATCTATCTCATCAATCAATCAATCAATCAATCAATCATCTATCTATGTATCCCTCTCTCTCTATCCATCATCTATCTCTCTATTCATCGTCTATCTCTCTCTCTATCCAGCATCTATTTATCTATCTGCCATTGATCTATTACCCATCTATCTGCCATCTATGTACATATGCATGTGCATACTTAACTGTCTACCTACCTACCTACCTTGTTTCATCCTTGATGCAATTAGTCATATGCTTCATGAATTAACAAGAACTGCTGCAAACATTCTCCTCCCTAAAGCAGAAGGAAGGATAAAGCGCATTATTCTGTTTGACTTTTGGGGTCATACGGTCACCACTGACAACCTCCTCAAACCCAGAACACCTTTAGGTGGGGAGGGCGACCGGTTCACACATACTTCTCCAAGGAAGCGCCTGTTCTGTTGCTGGCATATAAACCCTGCAACCCTCACCTCCAGACCCAGGTCTTTCTCGGGGGACCACCTGTTTAGCATCCAGCAACGAGTCATGCTGGAGCCTCTCCAGCAAGCTCTGAACACTAAACAGGTCCCCTCCCACGTTCTATGGGGACTCTCCTAACCTTCTGGGGCAAAAAAAGAAAAAAGAAAAAAAAATCCTAATTCGAAGCACATTGATCTCCAGGCATATGTTTTATATCAGGACCTATGAAACCAAGGTGAAAATGTGAAAATATGCTTGGAAATCTAGCATGTATCTGTCCATCTACCAGTTATCTATTCATCTGTTACTTATCTATTTATCTATCTAAATACCCATCTACCATTTATCTATCTATCCACCTATTGCTTATGTATCTCTCCATCATTTATCAGTCTATCTTTTATTATTCATCTATCATTAATCTGTCTATCCATCTGTCATTTATCTATCTACCCAGCTATCATTTATCTATTCATCTATCATTTATCTATTTATCCATCTATCATCTATCTGTCCATCATCTATCTTTTATCTATTCATCTATCATTTATCTATCTATCTATCCATCTGTCATTTATCTATTCATGTATTACTTATCTATTTATCTATCTATCCATCTAAATACCCATCTATCTATCTATCCATCCATCTATTGTTTATGTGTCTATCCATCATTTATCTATCAATGTGTCTTTTATCTATTCATCTACATTTATCTATCTATCCATCTGTCATTTATCTATCTTTCTATCATTTATCTATTCATCTATCATTTATCTATTTGTCCATCTATCATCTAGGTATCTGTCCATCGTCTATCTTTTATCTATTCATCTATTATTTATCTATCTATCCATCTGTCATTTATCTATCCATCTATCTTTTATCTATTCATCTATCATTTATCTATTTATCCATCTATCATCTATGTATCTGTCCATCATATATCATTTATCTATTCATCTATCATTTGTCTATCTACCCATCTATCTATATATCTACCCTTCTATCAATCTATCCATCTATCATCTACCTATATATCTGTCTACCCATCTATCAATCTCTCTATCCATCTATCATCTATCTATATATCTATCTACCCCTCTATCAATCTATCCATCTATCATCTGTATATCTATATATCTATCTACCCATCTATCTATCTCTATCATTTATCTATCTATCTATCAATCATACCCTCCCCTCGTCATTACCCCAGTTAGCTTGGGCTCTGGAGCTGGTCCAGTTGAAAAACAGCAAACAATCACCAGAGGAGAATCTCAGGCAGGACTTGCTGTACGTCAGAGGGAAGATGGAGGTTTCAAGGAGTCAACCATGTTGAATTCAACTCTGTGCCCTTCCTTCAGCAATAGCTGTGAGGTTTTCTAGTTACGAGACCTCCTTGCCCTCTGGAGTTGATGAACACTATTGGTGACCGCCATATTGCCAGCATTTCTTAATGTTATATTTCAGAGTAGGTTTGAAGTCAACCCAACTCCACCCATCACTGGGGCTGAGCAATAAGACTGACCATTCTTCAACCTCAGTTTCTCCATCTCTGAAGTGGGGATATGAAGTACCTCGAAGAGATAGTTCACAATGGATGACACAGCAAAAAGATCCTCACCAGACATAGCACCTCAACCTCAGACTTTCCAGCCCTCGGAACCATGAGACCAATGAACTCCCATTGTTTATAAATTACCTAATCAGTGGCACTCTTTTATAGAAGTACAAAATAAACTAAGATGAAGTCTGTCATCATTTTCGTTACAGCAGCCAGTGGAAGCTAATACCCTTTCTAATACCCTGCCTCTTCTGGGTGTCCATGAGTAACACAGGAAACATCTCATTTGTAATCAACACCTGCTCAATGTCAAGTTTGTTCAAAAGGGCTAACTCACTCAAGTATTACAATAAACCCAAGAGAGCCTCTACCTCCCCAGTTCCTCTTCATTCTTCTCCACTCTCTGCTTCAGGAGGCTGGAAAGTGTGGACTGTCTCAACAGCAACCATGAGCTCTGGTTTTCATTTGAGTTGTTGGGTTCAACATGCAAGAGATTAGAGGTAAGTTCTGAGCCTTCTCCTCAGATTCTGTCTCTGATAAGTCATCTTGCTCAAGTCCCTCCAGGACTTCCTCCCAGGCTGTTACACTGCTCAGTTTCTGCACAAACTCAGGGCTTGCACTGAGTCCTATGCCCATCTTTGAGCCAATTATGGTGCCAGGATGTTCACCTGCAGGAAACTGGTTGCTTAAACTGGAGGAGAGATAAAGGTTGTGCAGGTAGAGACAAACAATGGTCAGTGTAGGGTCCAAAGGAAGCAGCTGTCCTTACTCCTCACTGGCTAGAGCTATCCAGAGAATGTTCCAGAAGACACACATTTGGTTAAAGCACATTTATCTCCAGGCACATGTTTTCCATCAGGACCTTCAAAACCAATGTGAAAATATGCTTGGAAATCTGGCTTCACAAGAAAAACAGCAAATAAACACCAGAGGAGAATCTCAGACAGGACTTGTAAATCAGGAGGAAGACAGAGGTTTCAAGGAATGGAAGCCACATCCTGCTTTTCCTATGCTGGTGACATAGACTCCGTCTCCGAGCCTTTTCTTCAATCAGATGATTGATACGTAGACAGATGTACTGAGATAGATAGATATACAGATGTATAGATAGATACATGATAGATGATTGATACTTACAGATGTACTGATATAGATAGATGATTGATACATTGACAGATGTACTGATTGAGAGATAGATGATTGATACATAGATGTATTGATAGATAGATGGTAGATAGATGATAGATGATAGATAGATAGATAATAGATAGAGGAATAGATGACTGATATAGAGATGATATAGATAGATATATAGACAGAGCTAGAGAGATGATAGATGTAGGTAGGTAGATGATAGTCAGATGATGTTTGGATAGATAGAATACAGATAGCTTTAGGTAGTAGATAGATAGGGTAGATGGAAGATTGAAAGAGAGATGACAGAATATAAATAGATGACAGACGGATGATGGATAAATAAATAGATGGATAGATAGAGAAATAGATATAAAGAATGGATAGATGAATGGATAGATTGATAGATGAGTAGGTGAATGGAGAGATGATAGATGGATAGATGGAGAATGCATAGATGGATAGAGACATACACAATGATGCATCTATCAAACCAACGCCTGTTAGGTTTTCTGGTAAGGAGACCCGGTTGCTATCTGGAGTTGATGACACTCTTTGTGACCACCACCTTACCAGCATTTGTTAGTGCTATCTTTGGGAGCAGGTTTGGAGTCAGCCCAACTCCCCCCGTTACTACTGGTGCTGAGGAATGAGACTGACTCTTCTTCATCTTTAAAATGGGGAGATGATGTATCTGAAAGAGCCACAGTGAGCATTACATGGCCAGCCTCTCCATGGCAAGGGAGAGAGGCGCTTCCAGATGAGAGCAGAGCAAGAAGGCATCACTCTTACACTTTCTTGGGCCCGAATGGGTCATTGCCACCGGACAGATTCCTGGAGGTGTCCTTAAAATGCTTTACCTCTGCATCTGAGCACACAGGTGTAAGCCAGGAGTGTGCTGAAGAAAAGAACAAGCCCTGAGGTGGGGCATGAATGGTGCATCTGTTTGCAGGTGATCCAGATGGACTGGGATAACTTGACTGTTGGGTATTCACCTGAGAAAAGAACCACGCCCTGTACACCAGGCATCCGTGGCAACAGGCGTCGGTGGCAACCAGCTGTGAACACAGGAAATGCCTTTGACCCACCACCCCTGGGATCCAACTGAATCTTTTCACATCCTTCCAACCACCCACCTGCCTTCAGGAATCTCCCAGTGCCCACAGTCCCCTTGAGTCTGCAAACCAGGCTGTTACAGATTCTGAAGAATCCGCACACAGGTGTTCCCAGCTAGCCCCCGTCACCTTTCTGATTCTGCCACCGTTCTCCCAACATGGTGAGACCCCATGAATGTATGAAGCCTGTGCTTTGGGGAAAGATTTCTGAGACATTTTGTTTCCTGTGGAGACCAAAGGAAGCCACCTGGCTCTCACAGCAGAAAATTAGGCAGCAGGAGCTGAGGCATTTTGCAGAATGTGCCAGGGCTGTCAGCAAAGTGACAGACACATGTCACTCTCTGTCGGCACTGGCTTGTCACTCATCTGGGCTGTGACATGACACGGTGGATCATCTATTAACTGCCGCAGACCCTTAAAGACGCGAGGATTCATTTGCCTGTTGGTGAACGTGCAAAATTCCCGCGCGTGTTAGCAAGATCCGCAGGTGCACCTGGTTCCACGCAGGTAGACCTCAGACACCCCATTCTGCACATCCTCAGCAAAGGGGCTCATGCATGACAGCCCCAAATGGGATCTTATCTTGCTCCAACAGCCAATGAGAACGTCAAAGGAAATCCTCAACACGAAAACGTATGATGAGGTGTATAAAGAGTTAAACAAATTTATGAATAAAAATCCCACATGCCAAAAAAAGAGCTTATCTGGAATTCTGATGTATGGACTCTCTGGCATTCATTTTTATGTCATATTAAGATTTTTTATACAAACTCTTAGTGCTTGTTTTTCTTTTAAGAAGCAAGTCAAATAGTTTAGTTTTTTTAAAGAAACAAGTCAAGTATTAGCTTTGAAATTCTGAGAGCTGTCAGAATAAATTATTACTTAATAAATATTTTCATATTAATTGTAAAAATATAAAATTATTATATTTAATATAATAAATTTAATTTTAAATTATTAAAATTAAATAATTATAATAAATTATTTTAATAAATATTTTATATATTAATTATAAACATATAAAATCTTTAAAATACAATTATAATATATTTTCTAATATTTTAATATATGTGTTATATATTTATATTTTAACATATTTATTTTATTATATATTTATATTTATAATATATTTAATATATTTATTATAATATATTTATAAAATTATAAATATATTTAACATATTTGTTAATATATTATAAAATTAAAATATTTTTGTAATATTTTCAAAATATTAAAAATACAATTAATATTTTCAAAATTATTTATTAAAAATACAATAAGTATTTTTATATTAATTATAGAAATAAAAATTTTATGTCATATTAAAATTTTTATACAAACTTAGCACTTAATTTTTTAAAAAGTCAAATATTAGCTTTGAAATTCTGAGCGCTTTTAGAATAAATTATTATTTAATAAATATTTTATATTAATTATAAAAATATGAAGTTATTACATTTAATATAATAAATATAAATTTAAATTATGAAAATTTAAATTATTTTAATAAATTATTTTATACCAATATTTTATATATTAATTATAAATATATAAAATATGTATTTCTATAAATAAATAATATGTATTTTATATTTAAAAACATCTTTATTAAATATTTTAGTATATATTATATATTATATTTATTAGCTATATATTATGATATATAATATGTTATATGATATTATAATATATTTATTAGATATATTATAAAATTATAAATATATAATTTTATATATTTTATAAAATAGAAATATGTTTATTAATATATTTATAAAAACTATAAATATATTTATAAAATTAAAATAATTTTATATTTTAAAAATTATAAATATATAATTTTATATATTTTATAAAAATACAAATACGTTTAATATATTTATAAAATTAAAATAATTTCATAATATTTTTAAACTATTTAAAATATAATAAATATTTTTATATTCATTATAAAAATATAAAATTATATTTAATATAATAAACATAAATTTAAATTGTTAAAACGTAAACAACATTCATAAATCATGTTTCTTGCCTCCACTGAACCAAACGGCATCCGTTGCCCATTGTCTTGAGGACATGTGGTTGTATGGAGTGAAGTAGTCGGACGTCAGGAGGGTGGAATTAAAGAAGGGGAGGATGGGAGGCCCTTTCTGATACGAGGTGCAGTCCCATCATGGAACTGTCTGCCCACAGCTTGAGTGTACGTGGAGCCTCCATGACATATTTTTCAATGACCGTGGACCACAGTCCCGGGTAGACCAATCAGGAGCCGATTTGTAGACGGACAACCCTAGGGTGTCAGTCCTGACAGGCTGGGTTCTGTCCACCCTTGATGTCTGTCCAGCCACAGTCCTCTGAGCTCATGTATCTGCGGCTTGTCATTGCTAGTCAAATTCAAATACTTTCCCTTCCCTCATTTTCCTGGGTGTGTTTTGGGTGCCCAAGTTTCTTTTTCTGCATGATTGTAATCATTTTCATTCTTCTCAACGGTGTCTTCCCCATGCCTGAATGCAAGCTCTCATTGGATACCATCCTGGGTTCTGTAAACTATTGAAATAAAAGAGCATAAAAGCTGTTTCCAGTTTCCACTTTTTGTTTTGTTTTGTTTTGAGACAGAGTTTGTCATCATCCAGGCTGGAGTGCAGTGGCACAATCTCAGCTCACTGCAACCTCCGCCTCCCAGGATTCAAGCAATTCTCCTGCCTCAGCCTCCCGAGTAGCTGGGATGACAGGAACCCGCCCTAACTCCTGGCTAATTTTCGTATCCTTAGTAGAAAGAGGGTTTCACCATGTTGGCCAGGCTGGTCTCGAACACCTGACCTCAGGCGATCCTCCATCCTCGGCCTCCCAAAGTGCTGGGGTTACAGGCGTGAGCCACCGCGCCCGGCCTAGACTTTCTTAAGAAGACTCAAATATTAATGTATTTTTTTGTCCTGTATTCCATCCTGGGTTTCATCAGGACAAAACTCCCCATTTGAGTATCTTTCTGAACTTATGAGCCCCTAGAATACAACAGGAAGCTCGTGGACACAGCCCAGCTCAGACACAACATTGGTGGACAGTTACAGGGCTGCCCCAGAATGGAGCGTCAACCTCTCCACTTATATTTCGACCTTCTTGATTTCTCGACACATGTAAGATGTCAGGCATGAGGTCGAGAGATTGCCCATCATAACTAACCTGTCTTGGGGGGGTAGGATCCTAGAACCAGCTTTTGTATGCAAAATTAAGTCAGTTTCACTAAAATCAAACAAGAGATGACTGTAACACAGTAACCCACATAATTCAGACGAATAGCTGAATTACCTAGGGGAGGCCAATTTGGTTCCCACTGCTAAATAAATGCACACAAAATTAAGCATTATGATAGTTTATTCTTTCTCTGTTTTTTTGGGTTTCTTCCCCCCCAAGACAGGGTCTTGCTCTGTTCCTCGGGCTCGAGTACAGCGGCATGATCACACCTCACTGATGAAACCACAGGCATTCACCACCATGCTTGCTAATTTTTTTTTTTTTTTAGAGAGAGATAGGGGTCTTGCTGTGTTGCCCAGGCTGGTCTTGAGCTCCTGGACTCAAGTGATCCTCCTGCCTTGATTTTCCAGAGCCAGCTCATTCTCACCGTGTCTTAACAGCAGTTCGCGGCCGGGCACAGTGGCTCATGCCTGTCATCCCAGCACTTTGGGAGGCCAAGAAAGGTGGATCACTTGAGGTCAGGAGTTCAAGACCAGCCTGGCCAACATAGTGAAACCCGGTCTCTACTAAAAATATAAAAACTAGCCGGGCGTGGTGGTGGACGCCTGTCATCCCAGCTACTCGGGAGGCTGAGGCAGGAGAATTGCTTGAACCCAGGATATGGAGGTTGCAGTGAGCTGACACAGTGCCACTGCACTCCAGCCTCGGCAACAGAGTGAGACTCTGTCTCAAAAAACAAACAAACAAAACAAAACAAAACAAAACAGAAAAAAAACAGCCAGGCACAGTGGCTCAAGCCTGTAATCCCAGCACTTTGGGAGGCCAAGGCGGGTGGATGACCTGAGGTCGGGAGTTTGAGACCAGCCTGAACAACATGGAGAAACCCCATCTCTACTAAAAATACAAAAATTAGCCGGGCGTGGTGGTGCATGCCAGTAATCCCAGCTACTCAGGAGGCTGAGGCAGGAGAATCGCTTGAACCCAGGAGGCAGAGGTTGCAGTGAGCCAAGATCACGCCACTGCACTCCAGCCTCTGTGATGGGAGCAAGCCTCCATCTCAAAAAATATATATAGTGTGTATATATATATTTTATGTATACATCGTTTTATATATAATATATAATTATATATTTTTATATAATTATATATTATATCATATATTATATAATACACGATATAATATACTATATATTATATAATACACGATATAATATACTATATATTATATAATACACGATATAATATACTATATATTATATAATACACGATATAATATACTATATATTATATAATACACGATATAATATACTATATATTATATAATACACGATATAATATACTATATATTATATAATACACGATATAATATACTATATATTATATAATACACGATATAATATACTATGTATTATATAATACACGATACAATATACTATGTATTATATAATACACGATACAATATACTATATATTATATAATACACGATACAATATACTATATATTATATAATACACGATACAATATACTATATATTATATAATACACGATACAATATACTATATATTATATAATACACGATACAATATACTATATATTATATAATACATGATATAATATATAATGTGTATTATATAATACATGATATAATATATAATGTGTATTATATAATACATGATATAATATATAATGTGTATTATATTATACATGATATAATATATAATGTGTATTATATTATACATGATATAATATATTATATTATACATGATATAATATATTATATTATTACATGATATATTATATTATACATGATATAATATAATATATTATACATGATATATTATACATGATATAATACATTATATCATATATTATATTATACAATAGATATTATATATTATATTTTATATATGATATATGTAATTGATATATATGATATAGATGATAATATATGATATTATATATTATATAATATATTTGATAATATAAAATATGCTATATATTATATTTTATAATATATTTTGTAAGCATATATAATATATAATTATATATTATATTATATATCATATAATATATTATATATTTGATAACATAATATACTATATATTATATTTTATAAGCATGTATAATATATAATTATATATTATATATTATATATAATATTTTATATTATAAAAGATATAGTTATATAATATATTATAATTATATGTTATATATAATATATATTTTATATAAAAGATATATTATATGTAATTATATATTTTATATAATATATGTAATTATATATTATATAAAATATATGTAATTATATATTTATATAAAATATATGTAATTATATATTTTATATAAAATATATATTGTATGTAATTATATATTATCTATAATATATAATTATCATATATTATCTATAATATATAATTATCATATATTATCTATAATATATAATTATCATATATTATCTATAATATATAATTATTTTCATATATTATCTATAATATATAATTATCATATATTATCTATAATATAATTATTATATATTATCTATAATATGTAATTATTATATATTATCTATAATATAATTATTATATATTATCTATAATATGTAATTATTATATATTATCTATAATATTTATAATTATTATATATTATCTATAATATGTAATTATTATATATTATCTATAATATGTAATTATTGTATATTATCTATAATATGTAATTATTATATATTATCTATAATATTTATAATTATTATATATTATCTATAATATGTAATTATATATTATCTATAATATTTATAATTATTACATATTATCTATAATATGTAATTATTATATATTAGCTATAATATGTAATTATTGTATATTATCTATAATATGTAATTATTATATATTAGCTATAATATGTAATTATTGTATATTATCTATAATATGTAATTATTATATATTATCTATAATATTTATAATTATTATATATTATCTATATTTATAATTATTATATATTATCTATAATATATAATTTATTATATATTATGTAATTTTATATAGTTATATATAATTATATTATCTATAAAATATATATTATATATTTTTTATATCTGTATATGGCTGTGTAAAACACAATGTTAGCAGCACTATAGGGAGTGCAGGCAGCTGAGAGAGTCTTATGAGGCAGCAGAGACAAGACTGTCTCATTGCACATGGTAAGTATTCAATACATTGCAGTACTATCATCACAAGTAGCATTTCCTACACTGTTTCCCCTGTTAATTTCCTAACAGGAATGACTAGTAACACATGCCATTATTTGTCCTTTCTATGGCTGTTCTCTGCCTTTTCCTTTCTATAATAAATTTTTACAAGTTAAAAAGAAAAGAGCGTGTCATTGCTCAATTGCTTATAATAGCAAAAACATTGCAAAGTGTGATCGTGGCAAGTGGTTGCAGGATGTAAGGCAATTATCTCCTTATGTGGGATGGGAAATTGGAACCACAGATTGGAGGGAAAGTCAGTGCTGTCCACGACAATTAAGTGCAGGTTTTCTTCTGACCAGGCAATCCCACTTCTAAGTGTCTACCCTGGAGAAACTCTCATACTCAGGCACGACGTAGCATGGGGAAGCATGCTTGTTGCAGCAATGACTCTGATAGCAGAAAAACGGGCAGACTCTAATTGTTCGCCCAACGGGGGACTTGATGGATCCATACTGTGGATCACATCGAACAGATAAAATGAGAAAGTGGACCTCTGTGTGCTGGTGGGGAATATCTCCAACACAGGTTGTTGAGTGAGAAAAGTAACTTGGGGAATCTACAAGCAACAATACAACGTGACTCTATGAATGTTTTCACAAGTCACACACATGCAACAACAGGTCCAAATGTGTCTAAATGTGTGGAAAATGTTCTGGAAGGGTATTAAGTGACAATGGCAGTTATCTCGGGGGAGTGGATAAGAAATGAGTCTTCCTGGGACTGTAAACTAGTTCAACCATTGCGGAAGTCAGTGTGGCGATTCCTCAGGGATCTAGAACTAGAAATACCATTTGACCCAGCCATCCCATTACTGGATATATACCCAAAGGAGTATAAATCATGCTGCTATAAAGACACATGCACACGTATGTTTATTGAGGCACTATTCACAATAGCAAAGACTTGGAACCAACCCGAATGTCCAACAATGATAAACTGGATAAAGAAAATGTGGCACATATACACCATGGAATACTATGCAGCCATAAAAAATGATGATTTTATGTCCTTTGTAGGGAAATGGATGAAGCTGGAAACCATCATTCTCAGCAAACTATCACAAGGACTAAAAACCAAACACCGCATTTTCTCACTCATAGGTGGGAAATGAACAATGAGAACACATGGACACAGCGTGGGGAACATCACACACCAGGGCCTGTTGTGGGGTGTGGGGATGGGGGAGGGATAGCATTAGGAGAGATACCTAATGTTAAATGATGAGTTAATGGGTGCAGCACACCAACATGGCACATGTATACATATGTAACGAACCTGCACGTTGTGCACATGTACCCTAAAACTTAAAGTATAATAATAAAAAAAAAGACATGAGTCTTCTTTAGGAGGACTCTGCCTTTATTCAGAGTGTGTCTATGTTGTTCCCAAAGCACATTTCTAAAATAATTTCCTGAATATCTGCAAACCAATATATTGTCTTGGAAGACGACGAGGCAAAGGCAAAGTAAACAGGAACACATAGAGTAAAAATCATGTCTGGACTTATCTACTCATCTATCTCTCGTTCATCCACATACCCATCCACCTGTTCATTCATCCATTCACCTATGCATCCACCTATTCATTCATACAACCATCCACCCACCTACTTATCCATTCATCCATCTTTCCATTCACAAACACATCCGTCCATCCATACATCCATTTACTAATCGACCCATCCACTTATCTGTCCACCCATTCATCCATCCACTCATTTATCCACCCAGCCATCCACTCATTCACCTACCCACCTATCCATCCATCCACCTACCCACCCATCCATCCATCCACCCATCCATCCATGCATCCACCCATCTGTCCATCCATCTATCCACCCATTAACTCATCCATCATCCATCCATTTATCCATCCACCATCCATCCATCTACTCATATACCCATCCATCCATCCATGCATCCACCCACCCATCCATCTATCCAATCATTCATCATTCATCCATCTATCTACTCATACACCCATCCATCCACTCATCTAACCTTTCATCCACTCATCCACCTGCCCATTGATCCACTCATCCACCCATCCATCCACTCATTCACCCATTCATCCATCCACCCATCCACTCATTCATTATCCATCCATCATCCCATCCATCATCAATCCATTCCTCTACCCCTACACCCATCTATACACCTATCCACTCATCCATCTATCTGCCCATTGATCCACCCATCCACCCATCTATCATGTATCCATCTATCCACTCATCAATCTATCTACCACCCATCCATCCACCCATTCCCATTTATCATCTATCCACCCACCCATCTACCCATTCACTCATCCATCATCCATCATCCATTAATTCACCCATCCATCCACCCATCCAGCTATCCATCCACCCATCCATCCATCCATACACCCATCCACCCATCCATCCATCCAGTCATCTGCTTATCCATCATACATCCATCTACCCATCCAGCCATCTATACAACCATTAATCCACCCATCCATCCATCCACTCATCCAGCTATCCATCTATCCATCCATGCATACACCCATCCACCCATCATTCCATCCATCCACGCATCTGCTCATCCATCATGCATCCATCTATCCATCCAACCATCTATACAACCATTAATCTACCCACTCACTCATCCATCTGTCCACTCTTCCATCCATCCATCCACCCATCCATTCATCCGTCTATTCATCTACTCATCCATCATGCATCCATCTACCCATCCAGCCATCTATACAATCATTAATCCACCCACTCACCCATCCGTCTGTCCACACTTCCATCCATCTATCCATCCATCCATCCCTCCATCCATTCATCCATCCATTCATCCATCCACTCATCTGCTCATCCATCTGTCCATCTAGCCATCTATACAACCTTTAGTCCACCCACTCACCCATCCATCTGTCCACTCTTCCATCCACCCACCCACCCATCCATCCATTCACCCATTCATTCATCCATCCACTCATCTGCTTATCCATCATGCATCCGTCAGCCCATCCAGCCATCTATGTAACCATTAATCCACCCACTCACCCATCCATCTGTCCACTCTTCCATCCACCCATCCACTCATCCATTCATCCATCCATTCATCTGCTCATCCGTCTATCCATCCAACCATCTATCCATCTATACAACAATTAATCCACCCACTCACCCATCCATCATCCATCCATTTGTCCACTCTTCCATCCATCCATTCACTCATCCATCCACCCACCTACCTATCCTGTTTCATAGACGGCGACTTCTTGGTGTGTCCTCACACGGTGGAAGGGACAAGTGAGCTCTCTAGGATCCCTTTTATAAGGGCACTAATCCCATTCAGAAGGCTCCGCTCTCATGACCTCATCACCCCCCAAAGGCCCCACTTCTTAACGTCATCATCTTGGGGATGAAGAGTTCAACATAAGAATTTGGGAAAGAGCCCTACATTCAGACCACAATGGGGGCAGCTCCTACTCACCTGAGAGAGCAATATTAGGGATCCCATTGCATAGCAATTTTTTAGGGCCCTGTAGTCTTCATGGGTACAGTACTTCCTCATTGTGGACAGACTCTGTATTTGCAAATTTGCTTATTCACCAAAATTTATTGGTAATCTCAAAGTTAATACAAATTATGCCTTTGCTGTCTTCTCTGGACATGAGAAGAGTGGAGAAAAATTTGAGTCCGAGGCCGAGCGTGGTGACTCACGCCTGTAATCCCAGCACTTTGGGAGGCTGAGGTGGGCAGATCACGAGGTCAGGAGATCGAGACCACCCTGGTTAACAGGGTGAAACCCTGTCTCTTCTAAAAATACAAAAAATTAGCTGGGCATGGTGGCAGGCGCCTGTAAACCCAGCTACTCAGGAGGCTGAGGCAGGAGAATGTCATGAACCTGGGAGGCGGAGGTTGCAGTGAGCAGAGATTGTGCCACTGCACTCCAGCCTGGGTGACAGAGCAAGACTCTGCCTCAAAAATAATAATAATAATAATTTGAGTCGGAATTCTGCCCCATGGGGGACACTGTGCAATGACTGAAGACATTTCTGGTTATCACGACCAGGGAGGAGGTGACAGATACTACTAGCTTCTAGTGGGTAGAGCTCAGGGACGCTGCTGAGTATCCTACAGTATATAGGACAGCTCCCACCACGGAGAATTACCTGGCCCCCAATGTCAACAGTGCCTTAATTGAAAACACGTCATTCCAAGTTGCAGAATCAGTTACAGGAATATTGATTTTCACGAGGGCGTTGGCACAGTGCAGTCACAGACTCTGTATCACCTCATGTCACCGGGCTCTAACAGTCACATACCTAAAGCATCTTTCCTGGCTCATCACGCACGCTTCCTCCTCCCTCTCCTTTCAGTTTGATCCGTGTACATCCAACCCGTTGTAGAAAGAAAATGCCCGGAGAAAGGCTTGCAGGCACCAGTTGAAAGAAGCTTTGTAAAAACCGAGCAGGAATCTGGACAACCGTGAGACGCGATGGTTTATTTATTTGACATGAAAGGCGTCCTTTTGATCAAAACGCTGCCACTTGGCAAAAACCATGGAAGGATCACTGTGGATAAAAATCGCACTTAGCGGGGAAACAATGGTGGGGAGAGGGGAGTTTCAGGAAAGTTAATTTACAAATATACGTTTTGCATCTTTCGCTGAAGATGGAAAGAATGCATGCAGGTAACAAAAAAAAAATTCAATAAAATAGGCCTTGTAGACATTCACCTTCTGATGAATGCAGAATAAGACTTTACATTCTCGGGAAGTGTGTCCGTTATGTGGCATCTTGTTTAAAAGAGAGATTATGTTTCAGTAGGGTTGGAATAGGATTTAGGAATCTGCTTTTTTTGTTTTTTACATTTTCAAAAAAATTACATTTTAAATTATCATACTATAAAATTGATTTTCATGATATGCAGTTCGATGAACTTGAACACATTTTTGAAACATGTAAATGGCATCATGTTCGAGATACAGAATAGTTCTATCGCCTCCCCCAATTTTTCTCATTCTGTTTCTTTATAGTCACACGCACGTGCAGGCACACCAACGTCTAAGGGAATCTGCATTTTAAACACGAACCCTCGGTCGGGCGCGGTGGCTCATGCCTGTAATCCCAGCAATTTGGGAGGCCGAGGTGGGTGGATCACCTAAGGTCAGGAGTTTGAGACCAGCCTGGCCAACGTGGTGAAACCCCGTCTCTACTAAAAACACAAAAATTAGCCAGGCATGGTGGTGAGTTCCTGTAATCCCAGCTACTTGGGAGGCTGAAGCAGGAGAATTGCTTGAACCTGGGAGGTGGAAGTTGCATGAGCCGAGATCGCGCCACTGCACCCCAGCCTGCGGTGACAGAGTGAGACTCTGTCTCAAACAAACAAACAAACAAACACCCTCACATCATCCCTACTTGGTAAACCAATGGTGTAGTAAAGCTATCTTCATCCTCAGAAAGCTTCAAGACTGAACCAGGCTGAAGGGTTTATTGGCTAATGTGACTCTTGTCAAACCATTTATTTCTGAACATCACTTTGCAAAACAGGGATAATATCTATCTTTCAAAACAGGCATGAAGAAAAAGAAATAAGATAAGCAAAGGCTGGCATACAATAGGTGTTCATTAATAATGTCTATTATAATGTTTTTAGAAGTCAGAGTTTTAAACATAGAGTTTCAGATAGATAGGAAGACAAGTAGATAGACAGATAATAGATAGATAAGATAATAGATAGATAGATAGATAGATAGATAGATAGATAGATAGATAGAGAATATGGTTGATAGATAAGCTGATTGGTAGGTAGAGAGACAGGTAGATACAGAATACGATAGAGAAGATGATAGATAGGTAGATAGATAGATAGATAGATAGATAGATAATATGGTTGATAGATAAGCCGATTGGTAGGTAGAGAGACAGGTAGATACAGAATATGATAGAGAAGATGATAGATAGATAGGTAGATATAGATAGATAGATAGATAGATAGATAGATAGATAGATAGATAATAGATAATATGGTTGATAGATAAGCTGATTGGTAGGTAGAGAGATAGGTAGATAGAGAATAAGATAGAGAAGATGAGAGAAAATAGATAGATAGATAGATAGATGACAGATGATATATTGATACATGATAGATGATAGATAATATGATAGATAAAGATGATTGATACATAGATGGATAGATAAATAGGTAGACAGATAATATGATGGATAGATAAGATGACTGGTAGATAGATAGGTAGGTATATGATAGACAGGTAGATAGATAGATATAGAGAATATGATACATAGGTAGAAAGATTATTGGTAGGTAGGTAGATAGGTAGATGGATAATAGGTAGATAAGAGAATATGACAGATAAGATGATTGGAAGATAGTTAGCTAGGTAGGTAGATAGATACATAGATGAATAGATAGATAGATAATGTGATAGATAAAGATGATTGGTAGGTAGATGGATGGATGGATAGGTAGACAGAGAATATGGTAGAAAGATGGTTGTTAGGTAGGTAGATAGGTAGGTGGATAATAGGTAGATAGAGAATATGATAGATAAGATGACTGGTAGATAGGTCGGTAGGTAGGTAGATAGACCGAAAGATAGAATGGTAGATAGATAGATGCAGGCTTCTGGTTTTGACCAACATGAAGTAACAGAGATCAGAATTATCTTCCACTGGGCATAATACATGAAATGATGGCGTTCAAGACCCTGGACATGAAGCAATGAAAGACAATGATCTCTGAGAGATGGAAAAGTAATGCAGTGAGCCCTATGATCTCCCGGCTTACTGCCTGAGAGATTTTATAGGCGGCAGTACAAGGAGGCACAACACAGATGGAAACTGGAAGGCCTCTTGTGTTGAGAAGGTGGAGCTGAGAGTCTGGGGAGACCAAGGCAGGAAGAGTTCACAGGACAGAGTAGCAGATATGAGAGATCCACGTGGAGAAAGAAGCATAGAGACCTTCTGCAGAAGGTCCACCTAGAGAGCGTTGGGCTGAGAACTGATTGACATGTGTCTATGAGGAAATTATTCAAGGTGAGGGAAAGAACCAACAGAAATGACACATGGAAACAGGGAATAGTGACCAGCGTTCACACAATGTTCAAAAGGTGCCTGTTCTGACCTTCTAGATTGGAAAACTTCCATAGTTCATGGGGCGTTAGGTAGGATAGTGAGGAGGACCTTTCCTCAGTAGCTTGGACAAATTAATCCCGAATTAAACATTACTCTTCATTCCAACAGAATGAAACCAAGACCTGAAGGGTTCAAACTACCTCCAAGTGACTTCACAGAATCCCAGAACAAAGCTTCCACATAGTCAGAGGAATACGAAACTATTCAGAGCAAGGTAAAATTAAAAGTGGTATCCAGGCCAGGTCAACATGTTGAAACCCTGTGTCTACTAAAAATACAAAATTAGCCGGGCATGGTGGTGCATGCCTGTCATCCCAGCTAGTTGGGAGGCTGAGGCAGGAGAACCGCTTGAACCCGGGAGGCGGAGGTTGCAGTGAGCCGAGATTGCGCCACTGCACTCCAGCCTGGGCAACAAGAGCGAAATTCCATCTCAAAAAAAAAAAATGCAAATGAAAAGACAGCATAGGTCAGGCACGGTGGCTCACGCCTGGAATCTCACTTTGGGAGGCTGAGGTGGGTGGATCAACTGAGGTCAGGAGTTCAAGACCAGCCTGGCCAGCGTGGTGAAACCCCATCTCTACTAAAAATACAAAATCAGGCCGGGTGCGTTGGCTCACGCCTATAATCCCAGCACTTTGGGAGGCCGAGGCGGGTGGATCACCTGAGGTCAGGAGTTCAAGACCAGCCTGGCCAGCATGGTGAAACCCCATCTCTACTAAAACTAGAAAAATTAGCCGGGCTTGGTTGCTGGTGCCTGTAATCCCAGCTACTCAGGAGGCTGAAGCAGGAGAATGGCTTGAACCCGGAGGCGGAGGTTGCAGTGAGTTGACATCATGCCACTGCACTCCAGCCTGGGTAACAAGAGCAAAACTCTGTCTCTAAATAAATAAATAAGAGAGAGAGAGAGATGATAGATTACACAGATTGGCCGTGCACAGTGGCTCACGCGTATAATCCCAGCACTTTGGGAGACCGAGGCAGGTGGACCACCTGATGTCAGGAGTTTGAGACCAGCCTAATCAACATGGTGAAACCCCGTCTCTACTAAAAATACAAAAATTAGCTGGGCGTGGTGGCTGGCGCCTGTAATCCCAGCTACTCAGGAGGCTGAGGCAAGGAGAGTCGCTTGAACCCGGGAGGCGGAGGTTGCAGTGAGCTGACATCATGCCACTGCACTCCAGCCTGGCGACAGAGTGAGAAGTCTGTCTCAAAAATAAATAAATAAATAAGTAAAAATAAGCTCATTTGGGGGCAATATGGCAAGACTGTAGTGTGGCCGGCAGGCGTTTCCAAGGACTGGCCAGGAGCTGGATGAAAGAGGATGACAACCATTAAGATGCAGGGCTGTCTTCTCTGTGCGTTAGCAAGTCTGTAGTAGACAAGGAAGGCTGAGAGGATTTAAAGTGTCTTCTTATCTTCTGGGAGGGGACAAAGACCAGGGAAGGAAATCAGGAGCAATGCTGGCTTTATTTCCCCGTCTTTAAAAATACATATGATCAGCCAGGCACAGTGGCTCACGCCTGTCATCCCAGCACTTTGGGAGTCCGAGGCGGGTGGATCACCTGAGGTCAGAGGTTGGAGACCAGCCTGGCCAACATGGTGAAACCCCATCTCTACTAAAAATATAAAATTAGCTGGGTGTGGTGGCGGGTGCCTGTAATCCCAGCTACTCGAGAGGCTGAGGCAGGAGAGTCGCTTGAACCCGGGAGGCGGAGGTTGCACTGAGCCGAGATGATGCCACTGCACTCCAGCCTGGGTAATAAGAGCGAACTCCGTCTCAAAAAATAAAAATAAAATAAAGTGAAATAAAATAAAATAAAATAAAATAATAAAATAAAATAAAATAAAATAAAATAAAATAAAATAAAATAAAATAAAAAATAGATGTGATCCTTGAAGAATACACACATCAGCTCAACTTCTCAAGATGGATGTGGTAATGATTTTATCTTTGCCGCTCTTAATGAATCCTCTGTGTGTGTGTGTGTGTTTGTGTGTGTGTGACTTTTGTTCGTTTGATGGAAATAAATTTTGCAAGGTTAGGGCTATTGGACTAGGAACATAATTGATGATGATGACATTAAAATTATATCAGGAACGGGATGTCTCTTCAATAAAACTTCATTACTTGGGATCTCATAAATTCAGAATTTACGCAGAAATTTATCTTAGCACAGGCTATTAACCAAAGACTGAGTAAATTAACTGTGTAAAGATTTCAGGAGAGAAGCTGGAATTACTTAAGAAAGCAAGACTTTCCGTAGCTTAGAAGCACTTTTTTTTTTTTTGCATCTGAAAATGTGAGATTAATTGTGATTGTCTATCAAATAATCAGATTTTCCACCCAAGCACTATTCATCAAAACTTTGGAAGTATCCAATATCATACTCATGGAAAGTAAGCGTATTTTTGTAACGTTCTGTAATACCTGCTGTTCAGTCGTGGAGAATGGTGTTATTCATAGTTAATATAAATTAGTGACATTTTTGTTACAGCGCGTTTTATCTGAGTGCAGTGAGTTACTTTATAAAATTCTGTTTTATAGATTCTGCCTATCCCTTACTGCTACTAGTTGATGTTTTTTGCTGAGGGCCTCTTTCAGGACTGACTTCTAGTTCTGGCCTGCTGATGTCTGCTTTTTTTTATTTTTTTATTTTTTAGACAGAGTTTCGTACTCGTTGCCCAGGCTGGACCGCAATGGCGTGATCTCGCCTCACTGCAACCTCCGTCTGCCAGGTTCAAGCGACTCTCCTGCCTCAGCCTCCAGAGTAGCTGGGATTACAGGCACGAGCCACCACATCCTTCTAATTGTCTGCATTTTTAGTAGAGACGGGGTTTTGCCATGTGGTCCAGGCTGGAATTATTTTAACATGCTATGCTGTTTACGAATGGACTTCTAGTTCTGGCCTGCTGATGTCTGTTTTTTGTGGGTTTTTTTTTTTTTTTTTTTAAGAGGGAGTTTCGCCCTTATTTCTCAGGCTGGACTGCAATTGTGCGATCTCACCTCACTGCAACCTCCATCTCCCAGGTTCAAGCAACTCTCCTGCCCCAGCCTCCTGAGTAGCTGGGATTACAGGCGCCCGCCACCACGCCTGGCTAATTTTTGTATTTTTAGTAGAGATGCAGTTCCTCCATGTTGATTAGGCTGGTCTCCAACTCCTGACCTCAGGTGATCCACCCGCCTCGGCCTCCCAAAGTGCTGGGATGACAGGCGTGAGCCACCACGCCGGGCTAATTTTGTATTTTTAGTAGAGACAGGGTTTCACCATCTTGGCCAGGCTGGTCTTGAACTCCTGACCTTGTGATCCGCCTGCCTCAGCCTCCCAAAGTGCTGGGATTATAGGCTTGAGCCACCGCGCCCGGCCTCGACGTTAGGTTGTCAATACATGAGTCTTGTGAGGCGGGGGGCAGAATTCAGCCCATTGACTGTCCGTGAGTGTCTTCAAATGGAAACATTTTCATCCACACCTTCGTCCATACAGCAAACACCCTCGATCACCCCCACAAAGAGGGTGGCCTCCCATGACTGAGATTCTGCAAAATTTAAAACAATAGAAGGCGGCCGGGCGCGGTGGCTAACGCCTGGCATCCCAGCACTTTGGGAGGCCGAGGCTGGTGGATCATGAGGTCAGGAGATCGAGACCATCCCGGCTAACACGGTGAAACCCTGTCTCTACTAAAAATACAAACAATTAGCCGGGCGAGGTGGCGGGTGCCTGTAGTCCCAGCTACTCGGGATGCTGAGGCAGGAGAATGGTGTGAACCCCAGAGGCGGAGCTTGCAGTGAGCCGAGATGGTGCCACTGCACTCCGGCCTGGGCGACACAGCGAGACTCCGTCTTAAAAAAAACAACAAAAGGCAATCGTCTAATCTTTGAATCAGAGTTGGCCTAGGGTTCTGCTTCCCTAAAATTCAAACTCCTTCTGGATAAGCCACCCACAGAAGTCATTTTAAAACATCATCTGGGGCCGGGCATGGTGTCTCGTGCCCACCATCCCAACACTTTGGGAGGCTGAGGTGGGAGGATGGCTCGAGGCCAGGAGTTCAAGACCAGCCTGGGCAACACAGCAAGACCCCCATCTCTAGAAAAAATAAAAACAAAAGGAACAGGCCCAGCATGGTGGCTCATGCCTGTAATCCCAGCACTTTGGGAGGCCGAGGCGGGCGGATGACCTGAGGTCAGGAGATCGAGACCAGCCTGGCCAACACGGTGAAACCCCGTCTCTACTAAAAATACAAACATTAGCCGGGCGTGGTGGCGGGCACCTGTAGTCCCAGCTACTCGGGAGGCTGAGGCAGGAGAATGGCGTGAACCCGAGAGGCGGAGCTTGCAGTGAGCCGAGATCGCGCCACCGCACTCCAGCCTGGGCGACAGAGCGAGACTCCGTCTCAGAAAAAAAAATTAAATAAATAAATAAGTAAATAAGATAATAAATAAATAATCAAATAAATAATAAATCATATATAAATAAATAATAAATAAATAAAACAAAAAACCCAAAATCAGAAAACCAAATTATATATGCTTATAAAATATCGTATAACCAAAAGTAATCCTACACTGAGGTCCAAGCAGCCTCTCCGTGGCCGACGCCAGTTCGCAATCCATTTCTGTGCCATGGAGAGAGACGGTTACCTGTGAATTTCAGACCTCTGCAAACTTCCCCCTCCCCCCACCACCCCAAGAAGCATTTAAAGACAGGTGTGGTCAGGCCTACAGCTGTCCATCTGCAAGGTGCGACATGCAGCCGTGGTGACATTGGACGTCGTGAGGGGGGACATGCACCCTGTCCAGAGATGACTGTCCCCGGGGAAGACGGCTGGCTTTTTCCGGCGAGCCATAAAACAAGCTGAAAATAAAACACAGCAAACAAGACGTAGCTGAGCTCAGATCGGATGACGTGGCCTGTTTCTCTGTGTTGAACGTTGTGATTAAATCTGGTGAGGCTCCCCCCCACTCCAGGGGGAGAGAATTTTTGATTTGGAGGTTAAGCCAACATTAGCAAGAAAACATAAAATAAAGTGAGTGCAATTGCCGTAAGCAACAGAGGCACCCTTGATTCCAGGAATGTTTAGCTACAAAACGAGCATCCGCATAACGGTGTAAATGCAGCTAATGACGTGTGCAGAAGCCCTAGCTGGGCCACTGCCTGTAACTAATAAGAAATCAATTAGCTAATGAAGTGCCGATTACATGCAATGCTAATCTGAGCTGGGGTATTTTGGGTTTTTTCATGTTTCTCTCTTCCCTCCTTCTCTCCTTTATGAGGCTGTTTAATTGTGAGTGCCATACGGAGCGTGCAGTGTACAGCATGGCTAATGAAACATCATTATATGGTCGCTGCATTCTCCGAAGGGCTGAACGAGACCTGCTTGCCAATTATTTTTAATTGCCACGTATATCCTCACAACTGCGTCTTCCACGGCGCGCTTCAGAGGCCCGGCTGTCATGTCACACACACACACACACACACACACACAGAGCCAGCTTCTGTTTTTCTCTGCAGCCTCTGGACGTTCAGCTGTGGTCTCGGCCACGGTGCGTGACAGAGGACAGCGCGGCGAAGCGTAAACAGGGCCTGGGTGAAAATGCTTCTCCCTTCCTTGGATGGAGCCTGGTGTGGGACCTCTCCATAAATCCCCTCTCTCCATACATCCCCTCTCTCCATACATCCCCTCTCCAGAGCAGCCTCTCCATACGTCCCCTCTCCAGAACAGCCTCCCCATATATCCCCTCTCCAGAGCAGCCTCCCCATACGTCCCCTCTCCAGAGCAGCCTCCCCATACGTCCCCTCTCCAGAGCAGCCTCTCCATATGTCCCCTCTCCAGAGCAGCCTCTCCATACATGCCCTCTCCAGAGCAGCCTCTCCATATGTCCCCTCTCCAGAGCAGCCTCCCCATATATCCCCTCTCCAGAGCAGCCTCTCCATATGTCCCCTCTCCAGAGCAGCCTCCCCATACGTCCCCTCTCCAGAGCAGCTTCTCCATACGTCCCCTCTCCATACATCCCCTCTCCAGAGCAGCCTCTCCATATGTCCCCTCTCCAGAGCAGCCTCTCCATACATGCCCTCTCCAGAGCAGCCTCTCCATACGTCCCCTCTCCAGAGCAGCCTCCCCATATATCCCCTCTCCAGAGCAGCCTCTCCATACGTCCCCTCTCCAGAACAGCCTCCCCATATATCCCCTCTCCAGAGCAGCCTCCCCATACGTCCCCTCTCCAGAGCAGCCTCTCCATATGTCCCCTCTCCAGAGCAGCCTCTCCATATGTCCCCTCTCCAGAGCAGCCTCCCCATATATCCCCTCTCCAGAGCAGCCTCCCCATATATCCCCTCTCCAGAGCAGCCTCCCCATATGTCCCCTCTCCAGAGCAGCCTCTCCATATATCCCCTCTCTACAGCACCTTCTCCATACGTCCCCTCTCTAGAGCACCTTCTCCGTATGTCCCTCTCCAGAGCAGCCTCTCCATACATGCCCTCTCCAGAGCAGCCTCTCCATATGTCCCCTCTCCAGAGCAGCCTCCCCATATATCCCCTCTCCAGAGCAGCCTCTCCATATGTCCCCTCTCCAGAGCAGCCTCCCCATACGTCCCCTCTCCAGAGCAGCTTCTCCATACGTCCCCTCTCCATACATCCCCTCTCCAGAGCAGCCTCCCCATATATCCCCTCTCCAGAGCAGCTTCTCCATACGTCCCCTCTCCAGAGCAGACCCAAGCTGGCCAGTCCAAGCGGAGCTGGCTCCGGGGTGGGCGGAGACCTGGCATCCGATACGCGTGGGCTGTTCCCCCAGGGACACACCTGGCCCCCGACATACGTGTTTCCACCCCGGGACTCCAGCCTTTCCAACACGTCGGCACCTTGCATTTATGAAGTGGCTTAGACTGCGTAACTCTGCAAGTGACAAGCTGTCACCCCTGCAAACCGTGCTTCTGACCTGGCTGCGGTCCTCGTCCCTGAAATTGGCAGCCGAAGAGAAGGCAGAGGCTCCTGGTGCCCCGACAGTTTGATACGTTCCCAGGGAGATTATGTATCTGTATCTCGGTTGTGGGAAGCTCACACGGCATGACGGAACTTTCAATCTTCCATCTAAACGGGCTGTGGTTTCCCTGATGTTGACCAATCCGGGTCAGGACTCCTCCTTCTTGCCATCCAACATCTGGAATCTCACCATACAATGGCCCTTGGACATGTGCTTTAAAAAATAATAATAACAGCTTGGCATGGTGGTTCACGCCTGTCACCCTAGCACTTTGGGAGGCCAAGGCGGGAGGATCACCTGAGGTCAGGAGTTCGAGACCAGCCTGACCAACATGGTGAAACCCTGTCTCTACTAAAAATACAAACATTTGCCTGGCCTGGTGGCAGGCACCTGTAATCCCAGCTACTTGGGAGGCTGAGGCAGGAGAATCGATTCAACCTGGGAGGCAGAGGTTGCAGTGAGTTGAGATCACGCCACTGCACTCCAGCCTGAGGTCAGGAGTTCGAGACCAGCCTGACCAACACGGTGAAACGTCTCTACTAAAAATACAAGCATTTGCCTGGCCTGGTGGCGGGTGCCTGTAATCCCAGCTACTTGGGAGGCTGAGGCAGGAGAACCGATTCAACCTGGGAGGCAGAGATTGCGGTGAGTCGACATCATGCCACTGCACTCCAGCCTGAGATCAGGAGTTCGAGACCAGCCTGACCAACATGGTGAAACCCCGTCTCTACTAAAAATTCCAAAATTACCCAGGCATGGTGGCAGGAACCTGTCATCCCAGCTACTTGGGAAGCTGAGGCAGGAGAATCGCTTGAACCCGGGAGGCGGAGGTTGCAGTGAGCCGAGATTGCACCACTGCACTCCAGCCTGGGGGACAGAGGAAGTCTCCATCTGAAAAAAAAAAAACAATAGTAATAATAATAAGAGAATTTGTTCCGTCAGAGGAGGTGTGAGTCTTTGCTTTAACTTTTGAATCACATGCAAATTAAATTAGTTAATCCAGCTAGCCCCCCTCCACCTCCCCATTTCAGGAAACCCTGCCACCAGCAGCTGCCAGGGGTTCAGACGTCAGGGGAAGACAGATTTGATGTGACATTTTGTTCATTAAATAAACAAACCTGGTTCGGATAACAGCATTAGGTAGAAAGGCCCATCAATTCTCGTACCCTTAGTTCACGTAATGAGAAGTGACAATTTTTCTTTTACGTTCAGACACGCTCTATCGAGGAACAAAAGGGGGACAGGTGCCTGGCTACCACGGTCGGTATGAAAAAAAAAAGAAACAGAGAACAGCTGATGTATATTAATGAGAAACGTAACTTCTGGCCCAAGGCAACCTCAAGTCCATGGGGCTACTAACGACGTTACGGGGGAAAGAAAAAAAAATCGAACGACTATTTTTTTTTTAATTGTTTCATAATTTGGGGTTTTCTCCCCGGTTGACTTGGGACATTCGACAGAGTCACTGGCCGTGAAGAAGACAGTGGGGTTTCTACGTATGAGAACGAAAAAGGGAATCGCCAAAGACTTGTGCCTTTTTCCCATCGAAGATGAGGCATTGTCTTCAGCAGAGGCTCAGATCTGGGAGCAAAGGGAGTGGAAACCTGTCTGTAAAGAACCTCAACCCACAGGACACCTGAGCACGTGGGGACTTTAAAACTTTCATCGCCCTTGCAGATCCGAACGACAAACGCATTGAAATCTCAGGCAGTCGACCGTCCCGGCAGCAATGCCAGTATGTTTGGGTACATAAAAAATCACACCGCAGGCCGAGTGCGGTGGCTCACACCTGTCATCCCAGCACTTTGGGAGGCTGAGGCAGGTGGATCACCTGAGGTCAGGAGTTCGAGATCAGCCTGGCCAACATGGTGAAACCCCGTCTCTACTAAAAATACAAAAAACTAGCCGGGCATGGTGGTAGCTGCCTGTAATCCCAGCTACTCGGGAGGCTGAGGCAGGAGAATGGTGTGAACCCGGGAGGCAGAGGTTGCAGTAAGCTGACGTCGCACCATTGCACTACAGCCTGGGCAACAAGAGTGGAATTCCTTCTCAAAAAAAGAAAAAAAAAAATCACACCACAGGCCGGGTGTGGTGGCTCATGCCTGTCATCCCAGCACTTTGCGAGGCTGAGGCAGGCGGATCACCTGAGGTCTGGAGTTTGAGACCAGCCTGGCCAACAGGGCAAAACCCCATCTCTGCTAAAAATACAAAAAATTAGCTGGCCATGGCAGTAGCTGCCTGTAATATAGACAATATTTCCTCTGCACGTGTGTGTTTGTGTGTTTTTATGTGTTTGTGTGCATGTATTTGTGCTTTTTGTGTGTGTGTGTACGTGTATTTGTGCATTCATATGTGTGCATGTTCGTCTGTGTGTCTGTATGTTTATGTGTATTTGTGCATGTTTGTGTGCATGACTGTGTGTATCTGTGCATGTTTGTGAGTTTATTTGTGAATGTCTGTATCTGTGCATGGTTTTTTTTGTGTATCTGAGCATGTGTGTGTTTGTGCATGTTTGTCTGTGTGTATTTGTGCATGTATGTCTGTTTCCGCATGCTCATATGTGTGTCTGTGTGTGTCTGTTTGCATGATTGTGCATGCATGTGTGTTTCTGCACGTCTGTTTGTGTATATTTGTTTATATGTGTGTATTTGTGCACGTTTGTGTGTGTTTCTGTGTGTTTGTGCATGTTTTATGCCTGATTGTGTGTATGTGCAAGGAAGGAAGGAGGGAAAGGGAGAGAGAGACAGGAAAGAAGGAAAGAAGGAAAGGACGAGAGAAGAAAGAAAAAAAAAGAAAGAAAGAAAGAGAGAAAGAGAGAGAGAAAGAGAAAGAAAAAGAAAGAGAGAAAGAGAAAGAAGAAAGAAATAAAGAAAGAAAGAGAAAGAAGAAAGAAAGAAGGAAGAAAAGGAAGAGAGAAAAAGAAAAAAAGAAACAGAAAGAAAGAAAGAGTAAGAAAGAAGAAAGAAAGAAGGAAAGGAAGAGAGAAAAAGAAAGACAGAAACAGAAAGAAAGAAAGAGTAAGAAAGAAGAAAGAAAGAAAGAAAGAGAGAAAGAGAGAAAGAAAGAAAGGAGAGAGAGAGAGAGGAAGGAAGAAAGAAAGAAGAGAGAGAGAGAGGAAGGAAGAGAGAGAAGTATTCACCTAGAAGAGATCATGCAAAAACGCAAGAGTGTGGCTGTACCCTGGGAACAAATGGGAAGATTGTATGTTGGTGACCCTTGATCTTACTCTTTTATTTCAAAAAATTATAAGGTTTTTGCAGGAAGGGGCAGATAGTCTTCAACTTATTGAGGTGGCTGGATGAATGGATAGATGGATGATTGGATGGATGGATGCATGGATGGATAGATGAATGGGTAGGTGAATGGATCAATGGATGGATGGATGAGTGGATAGACGGATGGGTGGATGGATAGATCGATGGATGGGTGGGTGGATGGATGGATAGATAAGTAAATAGATGAGTGGCTGTGTGGATGAATGAATGGATGGATGGATGAATGGATGGATAGATGGGTGGGTGAATGGATGACTGAATAGATGAGTGGATGGATGGATGGATGAATGAATAGAAGAATGAAAAATGGATAGATGGAAGAATGAGTGGTTGGATTGATGGATGAATGGATATATGGATAGATGGGAGGGTGGATGGATGGATGGATGCATAGATAGATGGATGATTGGTAGGTTGGATAGATAACAGATGAATGGATGGATGATTGGGTAGGTAGATGGATGAATGGATGATTGGATGGATGCATGAGTGAATGGATGGACGGATAGATGGATGATTGGATGGATGGATGGATGGATGGATGGATAGATGGATGGGTGGGTTAATGGATGGATAGATAAATAAATACATGAGTGGGTGGATGGATGAATGGATGGAACGTTGGATGGATGGATGGATGGATGGATGGATGGATGGATGAATAGATAGATGGATGGGTGGGTTAATGGATGGATAGATAAATAAATACATGAGTGGGTGGATGGATGAATGGATGGAATGTTGGATGGATGGATGGATGGATGGATGGATGAACAAACAGATGAATGAATAATGGATAGATGAATGAATAAGTAGATGGATGGATGGATGGAAGGATGCATAGATAGACGGATGATTGGAAGGTTGGATGGATAATGGATAAATGGATGGATGAGTGGGTAGGTGGATGGATGGATGGATGAGTGGGTGGATGGATGGATGGATGGAAGGATGGATGGATGGGAAGATGGGTAGATAAATGGGCAGATGGGTGAGTGGGTGGGTGGATGGATGGATGGATGGATGGATTGATAGATAAATAGATGAGTGGCTGGGTGGATGAATGAATCGATGGGTAGATGGGTGGGTGGATGGATGGAAGAAGGGATGGAAGGCTGGATGGATGAGTGGACGGATGGATAGATAGATGAATGAATAATGGATAGATGAATGAATGAGTGGATGGATGGATGGATGGATGCATAGATAGATGGATGATTGGAAGGTTGGATGCATAATGGATGAATGGATGGATGAGTGGGTAGGTCGATGGATGGATGGATGGAGGGATGGATGGATGGATGCATGCATGCATGGATGGATGGATGCATGGATGGATAGATGGGTAGATAAATGGGAAGATGGGTGAATGGTTGGATGGATGGATGGATGGACAGATGGATGGGTGGGTGAATGGATGGATAGATGAATAAACAGATGAGTGGCTGGGTGGATGAATGAATCGATGGGTAGATGGGTGGGTGGATGGATGGATGAAGGGAAGGAAGGTTGGATGGATGGGTGGGTGGATGGATAGATGAATGAACAGATGAATGAATCATGGATAAATGAATGAATGAGTAGATGGATGGGTGGATGGAAGGTTGAATGCATAATGGATAAATGGATGGATGTTCTCAGTAGGTGGATGGATGGATGGATGGATGGATGGATGGATGAAAGTTTGGATGGATGGGTGGATGGATGGATAGATAGATTAATGAACAGATGAATGAATAATGGATAAATGAATGAATGAGTAGATGGATGGATGGATGGGTGGATGGAAGGATGCATGGATAGATGATTGGAAGGTTGGATGGATAATGGATAAATGGATGGATGAGTGGGTAGGTGGATGGATGGATGGATGGATATATAGATGGGTAGATAAATGAGCAGATGGGTGAGTGGGTGGATGGATGGGTGAATGGATGAATGGGTGGGTGGAATGATGTATGGAAAGATTAATGGACGAAGAGATAGATGGGCAGATGAATGGGCAGATACGTAAGAAAAAAACCTGTCATTGAATATGTGTGTCTAGATTGTGCCTATCTAGTTTTTAAAAGGCTTGGATTCCTCACCAAATTTCTTTAGGGCCATCCAAGAATTCCATATTTCCTGGTTTATGGAGCGATAGGGCAAGCTATTTTTAAGCCATACAAAGTTTAACTGTGTATTTTGTCATATAGGGAATTTTTAAACAGGAGAAAACTCTTCTTGTCTTATTTATCATTAAAAGTAGGGTAAGTATTTTCTCTTAAAAAGCTTACATTTTCTTTGCCTGAGGAAATAAATAAGAATGGCTGAAATCTGTTCGGAAAACTAGTCAGCTGATGCAGCCAGGGAAACCTCTATATAAGCAGAAAATAATCTCGGACACAAGCAACAGCCACCTAATTAATGGACTGATCTGCGCAGGCTCTGGTGGTGAGTGAGAACACTCCTGTCTGTCGTACGGTGAAGGTAGAGCATTTAATCCTGCTAGCTGCACATTTTATAGACATCTATGGAAGTTATGAACAGCTGATTAGTGCAGTTCAGAGATACAGAAAGCCTTCAGGCAGGTCTGTCCTCTAAACTGGGGCACGGACATTAAGAGCAGGGACGAAAGAAATACGTGATCAGGAAATTAATGAATCCAGGATCCCCAGGAAGGGAGATGGACAGCTACCCTCTTCGACAAAACGGCGCATCCCATCACGGAGATCAAAATGACAAAGCCACATGGGATGAGTTTCCATCCACCCCAAGAATTCACCTCATTCATTGGATCTGCTTACATTTTGTTGTAGGGATAGGTGAGCAAACACTTTCCCTGGGGGAAAAGATAGCCATACAAATAAACCAGTTTACCTGAGTCATTTAATCCCAAAAAGTCAGCTCCAAAAGTCAAGTCTCATAACTACGTAGATGTTTTGGGTTTTCTTTGTTTTTTTTGTTTGTTTGTTTCTGATGGAGGCTTATAACTATGTAGATCTTGTTTTTCTGTTGTTGTTTGTTTTCGTTTTTGTTTTTTGAGATGGAGTCTCACTCTGTCACCCAGGCTGGAGTGCAGTGGCACAATCTCAGCTCACTGCAACCTCCGCCTCCCTGGTTCAAGCAATTCTCCTGCCTCAGCCTCCTGAGTTTCTGGGGCTACAGGGACCTGCCACCATGCCCGGCTGAATTTTTGTATTTTTAGTAGAGACGGGGTTTCATCATGTTGGCCAGGATGGTCTCGATCTCCTGACCTCGCGATCCGCCCACCCCAGCCTCCCAAAGTGCTGGGATTACAGGCATGAGACACTGCTCCTGGCCTACTATGTAGATCTTGAATCAGCATTGAGTCTCAACATCCTTCCTCATTTGAGACATTAAAACCACAAGATACCACTACATATCCACAGGAATGGCTACAAAAAAAAAAAGATGTTATTAAGTATTTGTGAGAACCACTGTGTGTAGAAATGTCAACTGATATAGTCACTTTGGAAAACACATTGACAGTTTCTTAAAAAGTGGAACACACACACCTGTCATCCCAGCACTTTGGGAGGCCGAGGCAGGTGGATCACCTGAGGTCGGGAGTTCGAGACCAGCCTGACCAACATGGAGAAACCCCGTCTTTACTAAAAATACAAAAATTAGCCGGGTGTGGTGGTGGGCGCCTGTAATCCCAGCTACTCGGGAGGATGAGGCAGGAGAATCGCTTGAACCCTGGAGGCGGAGGTTGTGTTGAGCTGAGATCGAGCCACTGCACTCCAGCCTGGGCGACAGAGTGAGACCCCATCAAAAAAAAAAAAAAAAGTTGAACACAAACTCACCATTCAATCCAGCAATTCCTCCTGTGGGCGTCTACCCAAGAGAAATGAAAACTTATGTTTACTCAAAGACTTGTAGGTAAATATTCCTAGCAGCATGATTTGTAACAGCCAAGACGTGTAAACAGCCTATGTCTTTTCAGCAGGTGAACAGATAAAGACACTGTGGTCTTTCCCTGCAATGGAATATTATTCAGCCAATGACATACCGATATATGGTCCAACACGGATGCACCTCAAAAACATAACGCTAAGTAGAAGTCTGGGATAAAAGACTCCATATTGTGTAATTCGATGCAAAGAAATTGCGCAGAAAAGGAAAATCCATAGAGGCAGAATAGAGATGAGTGGTTGCCTGAGGCTCTGGGCAGAAATGGGATAAGGGAAGACAAGTGAGTGACAATAGCTATGCAATTTCTTTTCTGGGGTGATAAAAATATTCCAGAATTAGATTTGGTGATGGTCGTGCAACTCTACAAATTTACTAAGAGGCATTGAACTGTATAGTCAAAATGAATGCATTTCGTGGTATGTCAATTAAACCTCAATACAGTTGTTTTTTTGTTTGTTTTTTGTTTTGTTTTGTTTTGTTGCTTTGTTTTTTGAGACGAAGTCTCGCTCTTGTCGTCCAGGCTGGAGTGCAATGGGGTGATCTCAGTTCACTGCAACCTCCGCCTCCCAGGTTCAAGCGATTCTCCTGCCTCAGCCTCCCAAGTAGCTGGGATTATAGGCGTCCACCAACAGGCCCTGCTAATTTTTGTATTTTTAGTAGAGATGGGGTTTCACCATGTTGGCCAGGCTGGTCTCGAACTCCTAACCTCAGGTGATCTGCCTGCCTCGGCCTCCCAATATGCTGGGATTACAGGCATGAGCCACTGCGCCCAGCCCCTTCTCTCTCTCTCTCTATTTTTTTTTTTTGTTGTTGTTTGTTTGTTTTTACAGAGTTTTGCTCTTGTTGCCCAGGCTGGAGTGCAATGACACGATCTTGGCTCTCTGCAACCTCAGCCTCCCGGGTTCATGCGATTCTCCTGCCTCAGCCTCCCGAGTCGCTTGGATTACGGGCACCGGCCACCATGCTCGGCTAATTTGGTATTTTCAGTAGAGACGGGGTTTCACCATGTTGGCCAGGCTGGTCTCAAACTCCTGACCTCAGGCGATCCACCCGCCTCAGCCTCCCAAAGTGCTGCGATTACAGGTGTGAGCCACTGCACCTGGCCGAAATAATGACATTCTTATCAGGCATGACATCCTAAGTCCTTCAGAGTGACCTCCCAGAGCTCAAAGGCAAAATCCAGATCTGTTTGGGGGCAAGCTTATATCTTTACTACACATTCACCGAAGGAAAAAAAAAAAAAAGTATGTTTTCTAGATGCCAAGACCTCTGCTAAAATTAGTTACAGCTATAAACAAGTGGTCACATTTTGTACTTTTCATGTCTCTGTGAGTCACGGTCACTGCCCACGTCAGACGCTTCCTTTTCCAGCAGGGTCCAGGAATTCACGATGCTCACAGCCCAGCCATTTCCATGGCCCGGCCAGGCCCTGAACGCAGAAGCTTGCTCTGCAAATGGGATGCAGGCGGGCCAGCCAGCACCGTCGCGCTCGGGGACCCCTGCCTCCCAAGCCAGCCGGCGACATCCCCTTTCTTGGGAGATTAAGACCCCATTTGTTGTCATGATCTGCAGGTTCATCCCTAATGATCCACGTCCCCGCTCCAAAGCCGTCTTGCTGACAGCAAGTGCCACGTGTGATTAGAGGCCCTGAGAGAGTTGATCCCCGCCACCCTCCACGTGCCTGCAATCTAATCACTTCTCAGACAGACAGTGAGGTTCTAGGGACAGGCAGCGACCTGCGCTCTCCCCACCCTCTCCCCCGAATGCCTGCAAACGCTAACTGGGGCTTGGTCTTCTCTGTTAGAGTCTTGGTGATGCCCTGGACAGCAGCAACTCCACGCAAACTATCCAAAAGACCCCCACCCTCCGGATAGTGGATGGCAAAGTGGTGTCTGAGACCAACGACACCACAGTTCTGAGGCATGAAGCCAGCAGAAGCAGGGTGTGTACCCTTTGGGGAGCAGGAGGCCCATAAACAGTTCAGAGTTCATTGGATGTTACAGCTGCTAAATAAAGAAAAGGTGTCTAGGCATCAAAGCCTGCTTACACCCTGCCACACACAGATCACAGATGCCCACGCCCAGGTCAGCTGGAAACTACGGACTGTCTGCAGCTCCTCATGCTTTCGAGGTACCCCTGGACAGCAGCTCCCCAGGTTACGCAGAGACCTCCTTTGCAACCTGTTACTATTTGTCGTTTTCTTTACCGAGTGTCTCCAAGGAACCCTTCACACAAATCTCATTAAAAACCTCATCAATACTTGGAAGGCCGACGCAGGTGGATCAAGAGGTCAGGAGATCGAGACCATCCTGGCTAACACGGTGAAACCCCGTCTCTACTAAAAATACAAAAAAATTAGCCGGGCGTGCTGGTAGGCGCCTGTAGTCCCAGCTACTCAGGAGGCTGAGGCAGGAGAATGGCGTGAATCCAGGAGGCGGAATTTGCAGTGAGCTGAGATCGCGCCACTGCACTCCAGCCTGGGTGACAGAGCGAGACCCCATCTCAAAAAAACAAAACAAAACAAAACAAAAAACCTCCTCATCACACTTAAGAAACAAGGTTCTCTCTTCCCCCGTGGTCAATGGGGAAGTACCTGTTGGACTTGCCCCAGTCACCTGCTCCAGCCTCTGGTGCATATCAAAACATCTCTGTCTGTTTCTCAAATGATTGGGGTGAGGTATGAGGGGCCGGGCATGGCGGCTCACACCTGTAATCCCAGCACTTTGGGAGGCCGAGGTGGGCGGATCCCCTGAGGTCAGGAGTTCGAGACCAGCCTGACCAACATGCTGAAACCTCGTCTCTACTAAATATACACAAATTAGCCAGATGTGGTGGCGGGCACCTGTCATCCCAGCTACTCGGGAGGCTGAGGCAAGAGAGTCGCTTGAACCCAGGAGGTGGAGGTTGCAGTGAGCCGAGATCACACCACTGCACTCCAGCCTGGGCGACAGAGTGAGACTCCGTTTCGAACGAAAGAAAGAAAAAGAAGAAAGAAAGAAAGACAGAAAGAAAGAAAGACAGAAAGAAAGAAAGAAAGAAAGAAAGAAAGAAAGAAAGAAAGAAAGAAAGAAAGAAAGAAAGAAAGACGGAAGGACGGAAGGAAGGAAGGAGGAAGGAAGGAAAGAAATGAAGGAAGGGAGGAAGGGAAGGAAGGAAGGAAGAAAGAAAAGGGCTTTTCTTTTCTTTTTTTTTTTTTCTGGAAGGCTTTTAAGCCAAAGTGTTGAGAAGTAAATTGAACCCACACGCGTCTGATTCATTTAGCCCTTAACTCATCGAAAAGTCATTGGGTCAGAATGGCTTGATTTCAGAAAGCATTACAAAATGTCACTCCCTTTGAGCGAGGGAGAAGTACTCTGTTAGGAAATTTCTCTCATTATCCCAGAGAGAGGGTTGACGTCTCTGGAAAATACACACACACACACACACACACATACACACACACCCATAAAAAGGCCTTGAAGACTGGATGGGGTTAATATTGATTCAATGTTTCCACTTAGCCCTGGTCATGGAAGCAGAGAAAACACTCTCACCCTTTTCAAGAGGAACTTCACACTTCCTTGGGGGATGGCTCCCCACCAGCAAAGCCACTTTCTGCAGAAGAAAATAAAATCTGGCCGGGCGCAGTGGTTCACGCCTGTCATCCCAGCACTTTCCTAGGCCGAGGCAGACAGATCACGAGGTCAGGAGATCAAGACCAGCCTGGTTAACACGGTGAAACCCCGACTCTACTAAAAATACAAAAAATTAGCCGGGCGTGTTGGCGGGTGCCTGTAATCACAGCTACTCGGGAGGCTGAGGCAGGAGAATCGCCTGAACGCGGGAGGTTGAGGTTGCAGTGAGCCGAGATTGCGCCACTGCCCTCCAGCCTGGGAGACAGAGCAAGCTTCTGTCTCAAAAAAGAAAAAAATAAAAAGAAAAAATGAAATCTTCTGGCTGGGCGCGGTGGCTCATGCCTGTCATCCCAGCACTTTCGGAGGCCGAGGCGGGCAGATCACGAGGTCAGGAGATGAAGACCAGCCTGGTTAACATGGTGAAACCCCATCTCTACTAAAAATACAAAAAATTATCCGGGCGTGGTGGCGGGCACCTGTAATCCCAGCTACTCGAGAGGCTGAGGCAGGAGAATCGCCTGAACCCGGGAGGTGGAGGTTGCAGTGAGCTGAGATTGTGCCATTGCACTAGAGCCTGGGTGACAGAGCGAGACTCCATCTCAAAAAATAAAACAACAGAAAAAAAATGAAATCTTATGGCCAGGTGCAGTGGCTCACGCCTGTAATCCCAGCACTTTGGGAGGCTGAGGCGGGAGGATCATGAGGTCAGGAGATCGAGACCATCCTGGCTAACATGGTGAAACCCTGTCTCTACTAAAAATACAAAAAATTAGCCGGGCATGGTGGCAGGTGCCTGTAGTCCCAGCTACTCGGGAGGCTGAAGCAGGAGAATCACTTGAACCCGGGAGGCGGAGGTTGTAGTGAGCCGAGATCGCGCCACTGCACTCCAGCCTGGGTGACAGAGAGAGATTCCGTTTCCAAAAAAAAAAAAAACAAAAAACAAAAACAGAAATCTTCACACCGTGGCAATATCAAAGCCGACATGGTCTTGGGATGGTCAACATTCTACGGCCACCATATTGGGTGTGTAATGCATGGAAATGTCAACATCCTACGGCCACCATATTGGGTGTGGAATGCATGGAAATGTCAACATCCCACGGACACCATATTGGGTGTGGAATGCATGGAAATGTCAACATCCTACGGACACCATATTGGGTGTGGAATGCATGGAAATGTCAACGATTGGGTGTGTAATGCATGGAAATGTCAACATCCTATGGACACCATATTAGGTGTGGAATGCAAGGAAATGTCAACATTCTATGGCCACCATATTGGGTGTGCAATGTGTGCAAATGTCAACGTCCTACGGACACCATATTGGGTGTGGAATGCGTGGACATGTTGGGGAGAGAAAGATGGGGCAGGCAAGAGCTCCTTACAGCCCCTTCTGAAACAAACGCAATCACGTAGGGCAGGTTGAGAACCAGCAAATATCCCCTCTGGTGTTTGCCCTCCTTTTGGAGTCTGGGTTTCCAAACATGAACAACCAAACATCAGGTTGACGAAGCAATCACCATATAACAATGTTCAATCCCTAACATTGACAGAAATGAAAATCACCAGTGCAGCATCTACAAAAGTCTCCTTTTATCCATGAAGGATGCATTTCAAGACCCCACGGGGATGCCGGAAACATCCAGTAGCAGCAAGACCTGTATATGCTGTGCTTCCTCCTAGACGCACATACCTATTCTAAAGTTTAGTTTGTAAGTTAGGCAGAGCCAAAGACAAACAACAATAACTAATAGTAAGATAGAACCATTATAGAAATACTCAAGCATCACTCCTCTTGCACGCCGGGGCCATTTTTTAAGTCAAGTAAAGGTTCTTCAACACAAGCATTAAGATACCACAACACTCGCTCTGATCACTGAAGCGGTTGCTAAGTGACTAATGGACGGATTGTGTCTACAGCATGGTGGGGGCACCAGACAGAAAGATGAGTCATATCCCATGCGAGACACATCAGAATAGCACACAATTAAAAAACCACATAAATCGTTGCTTTCTGGAAAAAAAATTTTTTTTTAGATGGAGTCTCGCTCTGTTGCCCAGGCTGGAGTGCAGTGGCGTGTTCTTGACTCACTGCAACCTCTGCCTCCTGGGTTCAAGCAATTCTCCTGCCTCAGCCTCCCGAGTAGCTTGGATTACAGGCATGTGCCACCACACCTGGCTAAATTTTGTATTTTTAGTGGAGACGGGGTCTCATCATGTTGTCCAGGCTGGTCTCGAATTCCTGACCTCAAGTGATCCACCTGCCTCAGCCTCCCAAAGTGCTGGGATTGCAAGCATTAGCCACCACGCCCGGCTGCAAATCTTAGGTAGGAATTTGTTTTGTTTTGATTTGTTTTTTTGAGCCGGAATTTCACTCTTGTTTCCCAGGCTGGAGTGCAATGGCGCAATCTCGGCTCACCACAACCTCTGCCTCCCGGGTTCAAGTGATTCTCCTGCCTCAGCCTCCTAAGTAGCTGGGATGACAGGTATGTGCCACCACGCCCAGCTAATTTTGTATTTTTAGTAGAGATGGGGTTTCACCCTGTTGCCAGGCTGGTCTGGAACTCCTGACCTCAGGTGATCTGCCTGCCTCAGCCTCCCAAAGTGCTGGGATTACAGGTGTGAGCCACTGCAGCTGGCCAGGTAGGATCTTTATAGCAGTGTGAGTACGAACTGATACACATACACATCCAAATCTCGGGAACTTGTGGATGCAGTAGGCTGTCTGGCAAAAGGAACTTTGCTGATCCCATTCAGATAAGGGGTCTTGAAATGGGGGATTATGCTGGGTTATCTGGCTGGGCCTTAAAGGTAAACACAAGAGACCACGAGCCAGGGAGGCAGAGGGAGTTTCCATAGAGAGGTAGAGGAGATAGAAGGTGATGGGATGTATGGTCACAGGTCAACGAATGCAGGAGGCCCCAGACGACAAGAAAACAGGTTCTCAGCACGTATTAAAAGACCTGCATGGGCCAGGCACAGTGGCTGATGCCTGTAATCCCAGCACTTTGGGAGGCTGAGGTGGGTGGATCACGAGGTCAAGAGATCAAGACCAGCCTGGCCAACGTGGTGAAACCCTGTCTCTATTTTAAAAATACAAAAATTAGCCAGGCGTGGTGGTATGCTCCTGTAGTCCCACCTACTCAGGAGGCTGAGGCAGGAGAATCGCTTGAAACCAGGGGGCGGAGGTTGCAGGGAGCCGAGATTGCGCCATTGCACTCCAGCCTGCTGACAGAGTGAGATTCCGTCTCAGAAAAAAAAAAAAAAAAAAAAAAAAGACCTGCATGTATTAAAAGACCTGAATGTTGTCTTTGAAAGATGTCCAGCCAGGTGTGGTGGCTCATGCCTGTAATGTTAGCACTTCGGGAGGCCGAGGCAGGCGGATCACTGGAGGTCAGGAGTTCGAGACCAGCCTGGCCAACATGGTGAAACCCCGTCTCTACTAAAAATACAAAAAAAAAAAAAATTAGCCAGATGCACTGGTGCACGCCTGTAATCCCAGCACTTTGGGAGGCCCAGGCAGGTGGACTACTTGATGTCAGGAGTTCAAGACCAGCCTGACCAACACGGTGAAACCCCGTCTCTACTAAAAATACAAAAATTAGCTGGGCGTGGTGGCGGGTGCCTGTAGTCCCAGCTACTTGGGAGGCTGAGGCAAGAGAATCGCTTGAACCTGGGAGGCAGAGGTTGTAGTGAGCCGAGATCACGCCACTGCACTCCAGCGTGGGCAACAGAGCAAGACTCCATCTCAAAATACTAACAATCCGTGGATATCCAATGATTCTAGTATCGAAAAGAAATTCTAAATTGCTCCTTTAGCCTGAGTTCCTGTTCTCCTTTAATTTTTTGCTCTCCCTTGAAGGGTAATTATTTAAAAGAATTATCTTTTGGTTGGCAATCATCTCATTTTTAACACTTACTGTCGTATCTCAGAAAAAAATGAGGTCGGAGGGATCCTATTTGCTCAGAAATACCCCTCCTGTAATAACAGAACTTTGCCAATGTTCTCCGCAGTTACTTGGTTTTAGTTTTAATTTATATTTTATCCAGGAAAAGAACACAGACGAATATAAATAAAACGTTCGGTGTCCGCCCCCAGTAACCAGTTTTCCAAAACTTTTCTCTTTTGAATTTTCTTATTTATTTATTTACTCATTTATTTTTTTGAGACAGAGTTACACTCCTGTTGCCCAGGCTGGAGTGCAACGGCATGGTCTCGGCTCACGGCAACCTCTGCCTCCCGGGTTCAAGAGATTCTCCGGCCTCAGCCTCCCGAGTAGCTGGGATTACAGGCGCCCGCCATCACACCCAGGTAATTTTTGTATTTTTAGTAGAGACGGGGTTTCACCATGTTGGCCAGGCTGGTCTCGAACTCCTGACCTCAGGTGATCCACCCACCTTGCCTTCCCAAAGTGATGGGATTACAGGTGTGAGCCACTGCGCCCAGTCTGTGGTGTGATTTTTTTTTTTTCTTTTTTTGAGACAGAATTTCGCTCTTGTTGACCAGGCTGGAGTGCAGTGGCGTGATCTCAGCTCACTACAACCTCTGCCTCCCGGGTTCAAGGGATTCTGTTGCCTCAGCCTCCCCAGTAGCTGGGATTACAAGTGTACACCACCATGTCCGGCTAATTTTTGTATTTTTAGTAAAGACAGGGTTTCTCCATGTTGGTCAGGCTGGTCTCGAACTGCCGACCTCAAGTGATCCTCCCACCTCAGCCTCCCAAAGTGCTGGAATTACAGGGGTGAGCCACCACGCTCGGCCCCCAGTAACCAGTTTTTTTCCTATATGTCTTGCTACATTTATCTCAGCCAGAAGCAAAAATGCACAATAATCTCATCCTTATGGACAGAAAGGACCATTGTCTTTCATAAAACCAGCTCGTCTTTCCAAACAGTTTAAGTGCCTGGTTGTAGTTTCAATAGGACTGATTTCTCCCACGAAGAGGTTGGAAGATCTGATGTCACAACCTCCACCGACCAGACCAGCCCGGGCAGTTTTCCACGGACACATTTGCTTCCCTTTGACTCATGACTGCACTTTTGTTCTAGATTTCCGGTTTCCGATGGCCCTGGCATCCAGCATCTAGAAGGCCAGGCTTGGTGGCTCACACCTGTGATTCGAGCACTTTGGGAGACCAAGACAGGAGGATCGCTTGGGGCCAAGAGTTCGAGACCGGCCTGGGCAACATAGTGAGACCCTGTCTTTACAAAAATAAAAATTAGCTGGGCATGGTGGCACATGCGTGTTGTGTAATCCCAGCTACTCAGGAGGCTGAGGTAGGAGGCTCACTTGAGCCTGGGAGCTGGAAGATGTAGTGAGCCGAGATCACACCACTGCACCCCAGTCTGAGCGACAGGGTGAGACCCTGTCTCAAAAAAAAAAATGTTTTAAATGAGAACAAAAGTAGGCTACATCTGTAGGTGTTAACACCTTGATTTGTGTTCTAATGGAAACCCTCTGCTTGTTAATCCAAGCCAAGGATTTTTAAAAAATTCTTTAAATAACCTGTTACAGGCGTTGCTGCCTCCATTTTTCTGAGCCCATTCCTGGCTCCATTTTTCCCTCCAATATCCCGCCAGCTTTGTCCCGAATTACAGACACTTCCAAACAGACACAGGCCCAGAGGAATCTTCCACAATTTCCCTAGACCCACGGGGCAGTAGGTTGTGCACTTCTGACTGGGCGCAGTGGCTCACGCCTGTCATCCCAGCACTTTGGGAGGCCGAGGCAGGTGGATCGCCTGAGGTCAGGAGTTCGAGACCAGCCTGGCCAACATGGTGAAACTCGGTCTCTAGTAAAAATACAAAAATTACCCAGGCATGGTGGCGGGCGTCTGTCATCCCAGCTACTCAGGAGGCTGAGGCAGGAGAATCGCTTGAACCCGGGAGGCGGAGGTTGCAGTGAGCCGAGATCACGCCACTGCATTGCAGCCTGGGCCACAGAGCGAGACTCCGTCTCAAAAAAGAAGATGCGTTTCAGACCCGTCTCTGGGAGGACAGTGCATGGGGCTGAAAACCACTGATGGCTTTGGCTGGAAAGTTTGCAACGCCACAAATTTTGCTGAGGAATGTTCCCCGCGGTTTCCCGAAAAAAAGCATCACGGATGTTCAGGAGGAGAACCGCCCTCCATAAAGCTGGCTGCAAAACCCACAGGACATAACGGAGCGTCTTTAGTGAGCGCAGCGCTTCCGCTGGCTTGGGCCCTGAGGCTGGACACCACCCTGCCTGGGAACGTGGACCCTGCCACGTTGACTCACGGGGTGGAACATCTCCTTTATTTTCTGCAGGCCCTGCCCCACCAGAATGGTGGGTGGTTCCCATTTCTCTTCGGTCTGGTCGTGTTTTTTAACTACTGACGCTTTGCACGTCCAATCCTGGGGATGAGAGGGGACACGGCAAAGTCACCAGGGTAACTAGTGCCAGCCCTCTGCACCCTGGGACGCCCACACTCGTGTGCCTTTCTTTGGCATCAGGCGTGTTCTTTTTAAGGAATACGTTTCGTTTTCATCGACCGGGACATAAATGAAAAGAAAACAAGTCGTGAGCGTAAAATACGGTGAACGGTGGCCTCACCGCATTTGTGACACACTCGTTGCTTTCCCCAGCGTCCTCGCGTCATAAATATGGAACTGCGGTGAGCAGTGGACCTGCCCCTTCTTTGCTTCCTACCTACAAATCCAGAGGGGTCCACCTCCAGCCCCTGGCTATGTCCACACCACCAGGAGATTTACAACAGCGGCCGGCCTAGGCGGGGTCTCGTTAAAGGAGGGTTCTTCTTTGGAAAACACACCACGAGCCATACTTATAATTTAGGTGGACTATTTTAAAACAGGCCTGGGTTCCCCGCCTTCCCGGTTTTGCAAAAATCGCAGAGCTTTTTTTTTTTTTTTTTTTTTTTTTTTTTTTTCTGGAATGTCGTCCCTGTCACCCAGGCTGGAGTGCAATGGATGGATCTCGGCTCACTGCAACCTCCGCCTCCCGGGTTCAAGCGATTCTCCTGCCTCAGCCTCCTGAGTAGCTGGCACCAGCCACCAAGCCCAGCTAATTTTTTTTGCATTTTTAGTAGAGACGGGGTTTCACTATGCTGGCCAGGCTGGTCTCGAACTCCTGACCTCAGGCAATCCACCCGTCTCGGCCTCCCAAAGTGCTGTGATGACGGGCCTGAGCCACCGTGCCCGGCCAATCACAGAGCTTTCAACGGCCCTCTTTCCTCACAAATTGACCCTGTTTGTTGAGGGACACTCTGAGCCTCCCCCACAGGGGCTGGGATGTGTGTCTTCCCATCCATGACATTCAGGAAGCAGAATGTCTCCCCTTATCCTCCACCTACGGACGTTTCCAGGTACCTGCCTCTCGCACGGTCAAATATGTAAACAGCCACCTACGTTCCGAGTTCCTGTCTGGGAATAGAAGGCAGGTGCAGCACGTTGGCCCTGGATGTCTGAAAAATGCAAATTGATGTTTTGCCAACAGTTGGACGCTTTGATATAAGCCTGTAACCTGGGATGAGGGGAGCCGGGAAGAGGGAGAACATGGTAAAAGTCATTTAGACTTGCTACGGGCTGCAGGATGCCTCCGAATTCTAGGACAAGACCAGGCACGTTGGCTCACACCTGTAATCCCATCACTCTGGGAGGCCGCCGTGGGAGGATTGCTTGAGGCTAGGAGTTCAAGACCAGCCTGGGCAACATACCATGACCCTGTGTCTACAAAAATTAAAATGAAAATTATTCAAGCGTGGTGGCACACGCACCTGTATTTCCAGCTACTCAGGAGGCTGAGCTGAAAGGATAGCTTAAGCCCAAGAGTTTGAGGCTGCAGTGACCTATGACTGGACTACGGCACTCCAGCCTGGGCAACAGAGCAAGACCCTGTATCTATTGAAAAAAAAAAAAAAAAAAAAAAAGCCAGGTGCCGTGGCTCACACTTGTAATCCCAACACTTCGGGAGGCCAAAGCAAGCAGATCTCTTCAGGTCAGGAGTTCGAGACCAGCCTGGCCAACATGGTGAAACCCCTTGTCTACTAAAAATACAAAAAGAGCCAGGCGTGGTGGTGGGCACCTGTTATCCCAGCTACTCGGGAGGCCGAGGCAGGAGAATGACGTGAACCCGGGAGGCGGAGGTGAGCTGAGATCGCACCACTGCACTCCACTTTGTCTCCAAAAATAAAACACAAAGACTCTTTCTCTCTTATCCTGGCACAGTCTGGGAGTGTCTTGCCGCTTGCCAGCTTGGGATCTTTCTTTCTTTCTTCCTTTCTTTCTTTCTTTCTTTCTTTCTTTCTTTCTTTCTTTCTTTCTTTCTTTCTTTCTTTCTCTTTCTTTCTTTCTTTCTTTCTCTTTCCTCTCTCTTTTTGTTTCTTTCTTTCCTCTCTCTCTTTTCTTTCTTTTTTCTTCTTCCTTCCTTTCTCTTTCTTTCTTTCTTTTCTTTCTTTCTTTCTTTTCTTTCTTTCTTTTTGTTTCTTTCTTTCTCTTTCTTTCTTTCTTTCTCTTTCCTCTCTCTTTTTGTTTCTTTCTTTCCTCTCTCTTTTCTTTCTTTTTTCTTCTTCCTTCCTTTCTTTCTTTCTTCTTTCTTTCTCTTTCCCCTTTCTGTTTCTTTCTTTCCTCTCTCTCTTTTCTTTCTTTCTTTCTTTCTCTTTCCTCTCTCTCTTTCTCTTTCTTTCCTTTCTCTCTCTTTCTTTCTTTCCTTCCTTCTTTCTTTCTTCAAGACCAACCTGGACAGCATAGCAAGACCCTATCTCTACAAAAAGTTTAAAAATTACCTGGGCATGCTGGTGCATGCGTGTAGTCCCAGCTACTCGGGAGGTTGAGGTGGATCGCTTGAACCCGGGAAGTTGAGGCTGCAGAGCAAGACTCTGTCTCTTAGAGGAAAAAAAATCTTCTGATGTGTGAAAATAATACTGTATTATGAAAGAAGACTTATTTTCAGAATATGAGTGCTACTGTAGGGTGGGTAAAATGTTGTATATACAACTTACTTAGAAAACCTGTTTTTGGCCGGGCACGGTGGCTCATGCCTGTAATCCCAGCACTTTGGGAGGCCGAGGTGGGTGGATCACCTGAGGTCAGGAGTTCGAGACCAGCCTGGCCAACACGGTGAAACCCAGTCTCTACTAAAAATACAAAAATTGGCTGGGCTTGGTCGCGTGCACCTGTAATCCCAGCTACTCAGGAGGCTGAGGCAGGAGAATCGCTTGAACCCGGGAGGTGGAGGTTGCAGTGAGCTGAGATCACGCCACTGCACTCCAGCCTGGGTGACAGAGTGAGACTCCATAAAAGAAAGAAAGAAAGAAAGAAAGAAAGAAAGAAAGAAAGAAAGAAAGAAAGAAAGAAAGAAAGAAAGAGAAAGAAAGGAAAGAGAGAGAAGGAGAGAAAGAGAAAAAAGAAAGAAAGAGAAAGAAAAGAAATATGTTTTTTTAAAAAATATTTGTTTAATATATGTCTCTTATTCATGTATATAGATAGGTATATTTAATATCATTTCAATGGGTAAATAAATTAGTTGTTTATATATTTAGCTCATTTATTTATATGGGCATATAGGTGGATACACACACAACATATATATATATATAAATGGCACAATGCTGGCCAGGGACAGTGGCTCACATCTGTAATCCCAGCACATTGGGAGGCCGAGGCGGTAGGATCAACTGAGGTCAGGAGTTCGAGACCAGCCTGGCCAACATGGAGAAACCCCGTCTCTACTAAAAATACAAAAATTAGCCAGGCACGGTGCCAGGTGCCTGTAATCCCAGCTAGTAGGGAGGCTGAGGCAGGAGAATCACTTGAACCTGGGAGGTGGAGGCAGGAGAATCAGTTGAACCCTGGAGGTGGAGGTTGCAGTGAGCCGGGATCGTGCCACTGAACTCCAGTCTGGGCAACAAAGCAAGACTCCACCTCAAAAAAAAAAAAAGGCACAATGCTAGCCAGGCACAGTGGCTCATGTCTGTAATCCCAGCATGTTGGGAGGCTGAGGCAGGAGGATCCCTTGAGCCCAGGGGTTCGAGACCAGCCTGGGCAACATGGTGGAAACCTGTCTTAAAATGACAATAAAAAAACAGAATAAACTGGCAAAATGCTGATTATTGATGCCAAGTGGTGGGTTTATGGGAGTTCTTGTTAGCATTCTTTTGGCTTTTATATATGGCCGGGTGGTTTTTAAAAATAATACCAATTTCGGCCGGGCATGGCGGCTCACGCCTGTAATCCCAGCATTTTGGGAGGCCGAGGTGGGTGGATCACCGGAGGTCAGGAGTTCGAGACCAGCCTTGCCAATGTGGTGAAACCCCGGCTCTACTAAAAATACTGAATAATAAAAATACTAAGAATACTAAAAAATAAAAATACTAAATAATAAAAATTAGCCGGGCATGGTGGCGGGCGTCTGTAGTCTCAGCTACTCGGGAAGCTGAGGCAGGAGAATCGCTTGAACCTGGGAGGTGGAGGTTGCAGTGAGCCGAGATCGCACCGTTGCACTCCAGCCTGGGTGACAAGAGTGAAACTCCATCTCAAATAATAATAATAATAATAATGCCAATTGAAAGTTAAAAGGCTCTGGAGGCTGAGGCAGGAGAATCTCTTGATCCTGGGAGGCAGAGGTTGCAGTGAGCCAACATTGTGCCATTGCACTCCAGCCTGGGTGACAAGAGTGAAACTCCATCTCAAATAATAATAATAATAATAATAATAATAATAATAATAATAATACCAATTGAAAGTTAAAAGTTTCTGGAGGCTGAGGCAGGAGAATCGCTTGAATGAGGGAGGCAGAGGTTGCAGCGAGCTAACATTGTGCCATTGCACTCCAGCCTGAGTGACAAGAGTGAAACTCCGTCTCAAATAACAATAATAATAATAATAATAATAATAATAATACCAATTGAAAGTTAAAAGGCTCTGGAGGCTGAGGCAGGAGAATCTCTTGATCCCGGGAGGCAGAGGTTGCAGCGAGCCAACATTGTGCCATTGCACTCCAGCCTGGGCAACAAGATTGAAACTCCATCTCAAATAATAATAATAATAATAATATCAATTGAAAGTTAAAAGTTTCTGGAGGCTGAGGCAGGAGAATCTCTTGAACCTGGGAGGTGGAGGTTGCAGTGAGCCGAGATCACGCCATTGCAATGAGTCAAAATTGTGCCATTGCAACCAGCCTGGGTGACAAGAGTGAAACTCTGTCTCAAATAATAATAATAATAATAATAATAATAATAATATCAATTGAAAGTTAAAAGTTTCTGGAGGCTGAGGCAGGAGAATCGCTTGAATGAGGGAGGCAGAGGTTGCAGCGAGCCAACATTGTGCCATTGCACTCCAGCCTGGGTGACAAGAGGGAAACTCCGTCTCAAATAATAAGAATACCAATTTAAAGTTAAAAGAATCAGAGCTAATTCTGATACTCAGACAAGTTAAGGGCAAACACTGACAGCAAAAGCATGCTGGGGACACATTCCTGCTAGTCCCAGGTCCACCAGGCACTTGTACAAGTGGGGGACAGTGGGGTGGGGGGCCAGAGGGGGTCTCACCTGCGTCAGCCCTACCCCGGTGTCTCGTCCAAGAACGCTTGCCTGGTACACAACCCCCATCTTCCCCACTGTCATTTATGTCATGACTCTGTTCTAAATTTAATTTAATTTTCATTTCTTGCCCTCAGAGGAGCTGAGAGCAGCTGGTCCCATTGAGCTGTTGGTCCTGAAGCCCTCAGGACTGTTATTAAATTGCAAATCACACCCCAATTGCTATGCAAACAGCCTGGGTGCCCCTCGCTGTGTTACACACCTGGGCAGAGGCCTGGGGGCAGAAACCCAGTCTCCAGGGCTCCCTGCAGAGCCACACTCACGGCCGCCTTTTCACCCCGGGAGGGAAACTGCCCGTGATTCCAGCTGTAAATGCCAGTGGAAAAGGAATGCAGCATCACGAGAGACTGTGGAATCAAAATGCCTCTTAAAGAAATCAAAAAGTGGCCACTGGAGGATGGTCATCTTGGAGGGCTTTTAAAAGTCCTGCCTCTCACAGTGACGACACTTTGCTGCTACAAGATCCATGGGAGAGCCTCAGCCAGGTCCTGACGGAGAGGCAATACTCACACCCGGGGGAGGCTCACGCCAGCAAAACCGAAGGCGCGGGCAAAAGTAAGAGGAGTCAGACAGCTTAAAAAAGGAGGGAATAAAATTAAACGTGAGAATGCCACTAGAAGGCAAAGGACTGCTGAAAGTTATCTCCGTATACATGCGCACACACACCCACTAACACACATGCACACACACATTGCACACACGTGCACACACATATACATACCCACAGATATGCACACATAACATATGCATAAGGACTGCTGAAAATTATCTCGGTATACATGCAAACACACACACATATATATACACACATGCACACACACATATACACACGTGCACACACACATTGCACACAATGCACACACTTATATACATACACACAAATATGCACACACATATACATACATATGCACACATGACATATGCATAAGGACTGCTGAAAGTTATCTCAGTATACACGCACACACACACATATATACACACATGCACACACATATACACACGTGCACACACATACACATACACACATGCACACACATATACACACGTGCACACACATACACATACACACATGCACACACACATATACACACGTACACACACATATATACACACATGCACACACACATACATACACACAGATATGCACACATAACATGCATAAGGACTGCTGAAAGTTATCTCGGTATACACACACACTATACACACATGCACACACACACATATACACATACGTGCACACACATACATACACACGGATATGCACACATGACATATGCATAAGGACTGCTGAAAGCTATCTCGGTATACACACACACTATACACACATGCACACACACACATACACATACGTGCACACACACTATACACACATGCACACACATACACACATGCATACACATATACATACACACAGATATGCACACACATACACATACACACATATGCACACATAACATGCATAAGGACTGCTGAAAGTTATCTTGGTATACATGCAAACACACACACTATACACACATGCACACACACATATTTACACAATGCACACACATATATACATACACACAGATATGCACACATAACATATGCATATACATACGTTATAACACATACATACATATATACACACATACACACATATACACACATTATACACACATGCACACATATACATACACAGATATGCATGCATAACAAATATATGCAGAAACACATATACATACACACGTTATAAATGCATACACATACATACACACATATACACATACATGCACACATATACACATACATACAGACATATACACATGCACACACAAATACATACATGTGCACACATATATACGCGCATAGGCCTATACACATACATGCATATTCACACATATATACACATACATACGTACACCTACAGACACATATAGGCGCATGCCTGCACACATACATGTACATTCACACACATATATGTCAGGCCTCTGAGCCCAAGCGAAGCCATCATATGCCCTGTGACCTGCACATATACATCCAGATGGCCTGAAGTAACCGAAAAATCACGAAAGAAGTGAAAATGGCTTGTTCCTGCCTTAAGCGATGACTTTACCTTGTGAAATTCCCTCTCCTGGCTCATCCTGGCTCAATGAGCACCTTGTGTCACCTGCCCCCTGCCAGCCAGAGAACAACCCCCTTTGATTGTAATTTTCCACTATGTACCCAAATCCTATAAAACGGCCCCGCCCGTATCTCCCTGCAGTGACTCTCTTTTCGGACTCAGCCCGCCTGCACCCAGGTGATTAAAAAGTTTTATTGCTCACATGAAGTCTGTTTCGTGGTCTCTTCACACGGACACGTGTGACAATATACACATGAGATGGCTTCTCTACCCATTACGCTTTCATTAAACACCTGGCACTTACAAATATTTAGGAACACCTGTAATCTCAGCACCTTGGGAGGGCGAGGTGGGTGGATCACGAGGTCAGGAGATCGAGACCAGCCTGGCTAACACGGTGAAACCCCGTCTCTACTAAAAATACCAAAAAATTAGCCGGGCGTGGTGGCGGGCGCCTGTAGTCCCAGCTACTCGGGAGGCTGAGGCAGGAGAATGGCGTGAACCCGGGAGACAGAGCTTGCAGTGAGCCGAGATGGCACCAACTGCACTCCAGCCTGGGCAACAGAGCGAGACTCCGTCTCAAAAAAAAAAAAAAAAAATTAAGAATAATCATTGTGAGCTGCTGAGAACCCTGGTTCAGCTCGATGAAGACAGAAGCCTTGGCAAGTTTGCAAGACACGTCCAGGCGCAAACAAAAACATCTCCATCCAGGTTGGGTGCAGTGACTCACACCTGAAATCCCAGCACTTCAGGAGGCCAAGGCAGGAGAATCGCTTGAGCCCAGGACTTTGAGACCAGAGTGGGTCACACGGTGAAAGCTTGTCTCTACAAAAACAAAGAAAAAAAAAAATTAGCCGGGCATGGTGGTGCACTCCTGTAGTCCCAGCTACTCAGGAGGCTGAGGTGGGAGGATTGCTAGAGCCCAGGAGGTTGAGGCTGCAGTGAGCTGTGATTGCACCACTGCACTCCAGTCTGGGTGACAGAGTGAGACCCTGTCTCCAAAAAAAAAAAAAAAAAAAACAGAGAAAGAGAGAGAAGAAAGGACAGAGACAGAGGGAAGGAAGGAAAGAAGGAAGGAAGGGAGGGAGGGAAAGAAGGAAGGAAGAAATGAAGGAACGAAAGAAGGAAGGAAGGGGAAGGAAAGGGAAGGGAAGGAAGAGAAAGAAGGAAAGAAGGAAAGGGAAGGGAGGGAAGGGAAGGAAGAGGGAAGGAAGGAAGGGAAGGAAGGGAGGGAGGGAGGGAGGAAGAGAGAAAGGAAAGAAAGAAAGAAAGAAAGAAAGAAAGAAAGAAAGAAAGAAGAAAGAAGAGAAGGAAAGAAGAGAAAAAGGAAGGAAGGATGGAGGGAGGGAGGGAAGGAAGAAAAGGAATAAGGAAGGAAAGAGAGAGAAGAAAGAAAAAGAGAAAGGAAGGAAAGAGGAAGGAAGATGAGGAATAAGGAAGGAAAGAGAGAGAGAAGAAAGAAAAAGAGAAAGAAAGGAAAGAGGAAGGAAGATGAGGAATAAGGAAGGAAAGAGAGAGAGAAGAAAGAAAAAGAGAAAGGAAGGAAAGAGGAAGGAAGATGAGGAATAAGGAAGGAAAGAGAGAGAGAAGAAAGAAAAAGAGAAAGAAAGGAAAGAGGAAGGAAGATGAGGAATAAGGAAGGAAAGAGAGAGAGAAGAAAGAAAAAGAGAAAGGAAGGAAAGAGGAAGGAAAGAAAAAGAGAAAGGAAGGAAAGAGGAAGGAAGATGAGGAATAAGGAAGGAAAGAGAGAGAGAAGAAAGAAAAAGAGAAAGGAAGGAAAGAGGAAGGAAGATGAGGAATAAGGAAGGAAAGAGAGAGAGAAGAAAGAAAAAGAGAAAGGAAGGAAAGAGGAAGGAAGATGAGGAATAAGGAAGGAAAGAGAGAGAGAAGAAAGAAAAAGAGAAAGGAAGGAAAGAGGAAGGAAGATGAGGAATAAGGAAGGAAAGAGAGAGAGAAGAAAGAAAAAGAGAAAGGAAGGAAAGAGGAAGGAAGATGAGGAATAAGGAAGGAAAGAGAGAGAGAAGAAAGAAAAAGAGAAAGGAAGGAAAGAGGAAGGAAGATGAGGAATAAGGAAGGAAAGAGAGAGAGAAGAAAGAAAAAGAGAAAGGAAGGAAAGAGGAAGGAAGATGAGGAATAAGGAAGGAAAGAGAGAGAGAAGAAAGAAAAAGAGAAAGGAAGGAAAGAGGAAGGAAGATGAGGAATAAGGAAGGAAAGAGAGAGAGAAGAAAGAAAAAGAGAAAGGAAGGAAAGAGGAAGGAAGATGAGGAATAAGGAAGGAAAGAGAGAGAAGAAAGAAAAAGAGAAAGAAAGGAAAGAGGAAGGAAGATGAGGAATAAGGAAGGAAAGAGAGAGAAGAAAGAAAAAGAGAAAGAAAGGAAAGAGAAAGGAAGATGAGGAATAAGGAAGGAAAGAGAGAGAAGAAAGAAAAAGAGAAAGAAAGGAAAGAGGAAGGAAGATGAGGAATAAGGAAGGAAAGAGAGAGAAGAAAGAAAAAGAGAAAGAAAGGAAAGAGGAAGGAAGATGAGGAATAAGGAAGGAAAGAGAGAGAGAAGAAAGAAAAAGAGAAAGGAAGGAAAGAGGAAGGAAGGAAGGGAAGGAAGGAAAGAAGGAAAGGGAAGGGAGGGAAGGGAAGGAAGAAAAGGAATAAGGAAGGAGAGAGATAAGAAAGAAAGAAAGAAGAAAGAAAAAGAAGAAGGAAAGAAAGAAAGGAAGAAAGAAGGAAAGAAAGAAAGAAAGAGGGAGGGAGGAAGGAAGGAATTCATTCTCCATATAGTCTCCACAGTATCCAGGAGAAGCGTTTCTCCAGCAGCCAGCTGGGCTAAACTTGCTCCAGTGAAATTTTGGAATTTCTCTCCGCCACTGAGCACACCTTCGTTTTCTCTCCCATCGCTCTCCTTCCTGCACCTCTCTGCGGCTGCCCCAGCTGCAAGGTCAAGCTGCAGACACACCTGTTACCCATCATGACAAGTCGCAGAGTGTGGTCGGCGCCAGAGGGACAGTATCCCATTGCCTGAGGGGATGCTCTCCGTTTTCTGCAAAGATGTCAGACAAAAATCAGGACTATCAACGCGTGCTCCGAAGCCCTGGGTTGCACTGTGGCCTGCAGGACAGAAGGAACCACACCTACTGGGGAAAGAGACCCAGGAAGGTGGCAAGTGGACAGAAGGGAGCAGGGCTGTTCCTCCTGGAAAGCCAAGAATCCCAGCCCTCGTCCCCAGTCCTCTCTGCACTCCCCAGCCCTCTGCGGCCCAACGCCAGTTCAAACCAACTGTCACCTCTCTTATGAAGATACAAGCTGGCTCGCCTTCCTCACCGAGCCGACACGGCCTCGTAGACTTTGATCTAATTCTGTTTGCTGTCTTATGATGCATGAACGCTGTCAGATAAAGAGATGTTGAAAAAGGCCCTCCTGAGCTGTCAGGGCTGACAATGCCGCGTGATGGATGATGATGCAGAAAACAAACAAACAGTCCTTCCCTGACGGGGAAAAGGGTGCAGGCCACACACGAGGCCGATCCCACGGCCCGTACTGCAGTCCGAGTTTTTTGCAAGGACCAGGTCCCCTTGCCTGTTGAGCCCTCTTCTGATCAAAGACTCCGCCGTCCCCCCACCCCTGCTGTCTTACCGGTGAAGGCTTCAGAGTTGAGTAAGTGTCTGGGGAGGCAGCACCTGTGGACGTGAACATCAGCCTCCAAGGTGGACATTCCCTATTTTGGTTTATTTTTGTCTCTTCCTTCCTTCCTTCCTCTTTCCTTCCTTCCTTCTTTCCTTCCTTCCTTCGTTCCTTTTCTTTCTTTAAGTTTTTTATTTAGATATAATTGACATAGCATAAAATTCCCCATCTGAGGCCAGGAGTGGTGGCTCACGCCTGTAATCCCAGCACTTTGGGAGGCCGAGGCGGGTGGATCATCTGAGGTCAGGAGTTCGAGACCAGCCCGGCCAACATGGTGAAACCCCGTCTCTACTAAAAACACAAAAATTAGCTGGGTGTGGTGGTGGGCGCCTCTAATCCCAGCTACTAGGGAGGCTGAGGCAGGAAAATCACTTCAACTCGGGAGGTGGAGGTTGCAGTGAGCTCAGATCGCTCCCCTGCACTCCAGCCTGGGCAACAAGAGTGAAACTCCGTCTCAAAAAAAAAAAAAAATAATAACCCCATTTGAATGATTTTTAATGCTCTGCAATCACCGCCTCTATTTAGTTCCAGAACATTTTTATCACTCCAAAAAGAGACCCTGTATGCAGGCAGCAGTGAGTCCCCAGCCCCTCCCCGGCCCCTGGTAACCACAAATCCACTTTCTGTCTCTGTGGGTTTGCCTGTTCTGGGCATTTTATATAAATGGAATCCTGCGTGATATGGCCTTTTGTGTCTGGCTTCTCTCACTGAGCGTGATGTCCTTGAGGTCCACCCACACTGCAGCCTGTCTCAGAGTTAGCTTCCTTCCTTTTCATGGGTGTATAATATTCCACTGCATGGATGGACCACATTGCATTTATATAACGGAATCCTACACAACGTGGCCTTTTGTGTCTGGCTTCTGTCACTGAGCGTGATGTCTTCCAGGTCCATCCACACTGCAGCCTGTGTCAGAGCTAGCTTCTTTCCTTTTCGTGGGTGTATAATATTCCACTGCATGGATGGACCACATTGCGTTTATCCATCAACAGACCCTTGGTTTTTTTCCATCTTTTGGCTACCGTCAAACTTGCTGCTGTGAACACTGTCCTACAGTCCTTGTTTGACTCTCCTTTGGTTTTTTTTTTTGAGATGGAGTCTCGCTCTGTCGCCCAGGCTGGAGGGCAGTGGCACACCCTCAGCTCACTGCAACCTCCGCCTCCCGGGTTCATGCTATTCTCCTGCCTCAGCCTCCCGAGTAGCTGGGACTACAGGCGCCCACCACCGTGCCCGGCTAATTTTTTGTATTTTTAGTAGAGACAGGGTTTCTCCATGTTAGCCAGGATGGTCTCGATCTCCTGACCTCGTGATCCACCCGTCTCGGCCTCCCAAAGTGCTGGGATCACAGGCGTGAAACACCGCGCCCGGCCTTGAGTCCCTTTTAAAAATTCTTTTGGGTACACATGTAAGAGTGGCATTCTGGTGATACGGCACCCGTACGTTAAAACTTTAGCAAATCCCGTAAGTTCTTCCTCATTTTTGTCTGTGTTTGTGGATTGGTTTCCACAGACACGTTCCAATTCTAAATGGAGGTACGATCATGGACGCAAACTGGAAAATGCAGAAATGCATAAAACAAAGATGATCGGCCGGGCACGGTGGCTCACACCTGTCATCCCAGCACTTTGGGAGGCCGAGGCGGGTGGATCACCTGAGGTCAGGAGTTCGAGACCAGCCTGGCCAACATGGAGAAACCTCGTCTCTACTAAAAAAAAAAATACAAAATTAGCTGGGCGTGGTGGTGCACACCTGCAATCCCAGCTACTCGGGAGGCTGAAGCAGGAGAATCGCTTGAACCCGAGAGGCGGAGGTGGCAGTGAGCCGAGATTGTGCCATTGCACTCCAGCCTGGGTGACAAGAGCGAAACTCTGTCTCGAAAAAAAAAGAAAAAAAAAACAAACAAAGATGATCTTCATTGTGACCCTCATGGAAAGAATCATGATCACCCCATATTATCTCTGCATGGATGCACCCAGCATGGACCCCTTCCCCTGCCCCAGGCTGCACCCTCCCTTCAGGTCAGGGCCAACCCACCTTTCTCCAGGAAGCCTCATCCATCTCTCCGAGACCCCCGCCCTTCTAAGGAATTGGCCCCCATCCAACAGCCGGAAGGAAGATGGCACCTGGTGGACAGCAAACGCTTTGATGAATACGTGAAGGAACTAGGAGTCTGAATCGCTTTGGGAAAAACGGACTCAATGGCCGAACCAGATTGTATCGTGACTTGTGATGGCAAAAGTCTCACCAGAAAAACTGAGGGCACTTTGAGAAGACAGTGTTCCTGTACCCTGGGAGAGAAGTTTGAAGAAACCACAAGTGAGGACAGAAAAACTCAGACTAACAAGAAAACCAAAAGATGGGAAATTAGTGTCGGACTGTGTGATGAGCAAAGTCACCTCTACTCACATCTATGAACAAGTAGAATCAAAATCCCAGCATCATGGTCAGGTGCGGTGGCTCAGGCCTGTCATCCCAGCACTTTGGGAGGCTGAGGTGGGCAAATCATGAGATCAGGAGTTTGAGAGCAGCCTGACCAACATGGTGAAACCCCGTCTCTGCTAAGAATACAAAAATGAGCCGGGTGTGGTGGCGGGCGCCTGTAGTCCCAGCTACTCGGGAGGCTGAGGCAGGAGAGGTGGAGGTTGCAGTGAGCCGAGATCCTGCCATTGCACTCCAGCCTGGGCAACAGAGTGAGACTCCATCTCAAAAAAATAAATAAATAAAATAAAATAAAATAAATAAAAATCGCATCATTACTTTGGACAGGAATTAACTACGAGAATAAACATGCTCAGTCCAATGAAGCAAATCTGCATAGTGCTTCTTTTTTCATTACTGTGTTCAATTATCTTTATCACAACCATTTTCCATGCAGCTATTTCAAAGTGTTGGATTAATTAGGATCATCCCTTTGGTTAATAAATAAATGTGTGGCCAGGCACGGTGGCTCACGCCTGTAATCCCAGCACTTTGGGAGGCCAAGGCTGGAGAATCACGAGATCAGGAGTTCGAGACCAGCCTGACCAAGATGGTGAGACCCCGTCTCTACTAAAAATACAAAAGTTAGCCAGGTGTGGTGGTGCATACCTGTAATCCCAGCTACTCGGGAGGCTGAGGCAGGAGAATCGCTTGAACCCGGGACACAGAGGTTGCAGTGAGCTGAGATCGTGCCACTGCACTCCAGCCTGGGGACAGAGCGAGATTCATCTCAAAAATAATTATTTACTTATTTACAAAAATAAGTAAATAATAAATAAATGTGTTTATTTATTATTAAAAGTAAATAAATAAATGTGTTTGTGCCAAAAAGAAGAGAAAGAAAACAGAAAGGAAGGAAGGAAGGAAAGAAAGAAAGAAAGTTTTTCTGAAAGAAAGAAAGAAAGAAAGAAAGAAGAAAGAAAGAAGGGAAGAAAGAAGGGAAGAAAGGAAGGAAGGAAAAAAGAAAGGAAGGAAGAAAGGAAAAAGAAAGAAAAGAAAGAAAGAAAGAGAAAGCAAGCAAGCAAGAAAGAAAGAAAGAAAAAAGAGAAAGAAAGAAAGAAGGGAAGAAAGGAAGGAAGGAAAAAAGGAAGGAAGAAAGGAAAAAGAAAGAAAGAGAAAGAAAGAAAAGAAAGAGAAAGCAAGCAAGAAAGAAAGAAAGAAAAAAGAGAAAGAAAGGAAAGAAAGAAAGAAAGAAAGAAAGGAAAGAAAGAAAGAGAAAGAAAGAGAAAGCAAGCAAGAAAGAAAGAAAAAAGAGAAAGAAAGAAAGAAAGAAAAGAAAGAAAGAGAAAGAAAGAAAAGAAAGAAAGAGAAAGAAAAGAAAGAAAAAGAAAGAAAGAGAAAGCAAGAAAGAAAGAAAGAAAGAAAAAAGAGAAAGAAAGGAAAGAAAGAAAGAAAGAAAGAAAGAAAGAGAAAGAAAGAAAAGAAAGAAAGAGAAAGAAAGAAAAGAAAGAAAGAGAAAGAAAGAAAGAAAGAAAGAAAGAAAGAAAGAAAGAAAGAAAGAAAGAAAGAAAGGAAAGAAGGAAAAGAAAAGAAAGAAAGACAGACTTTTGCTAAGCCTGGCTGTTTGGATCCAGGTGTTCAACCTGCTCCTTCCCCAGATCTCACTGAGATGGGAGCAAAGAAATGAACCCACCAGGACCAGAGGAGCTGCAGAGAATAAAACAGCCAAGCAGGCTGTGCAGTGGTGCGATCTCTGCTAACTGCAACCTCCACCTCCTGGGCTCAAGCAATTCACATGCCTCAGCCTCCTGAGTAGCTGGGATTACAGGCATGCACCACCACACCTGGCTGATGTTTTGTATTTTAGTAGAGATGGGGTTTCACCATGTTGCCCAGACTGGTCTACAACCCCTGAACACTCATCTCAGCCTCCCAAAGTGCTGGGATGACAGGCATGAGCCATCAAGCTCGACCTAAAATGACTTTCTCCTATGGAATGAGGGTGATTATCCCTGGAGGTATGTTTTCTTTTCCTCTTATGGCAAAATAGAACCTCACTCACAATCCTACTTTGCTCTCTCATTCAAAATAAAAAATTGAGCTGGGTGTGATGGCTGATGCCTGTCATCCCAGCACTTTAGGAGGCCGAGGCAGGCGGATCATGAGGTCAGGAGATCGAGACCATCCTGGCTAACACAGTGAAACCCCGTCTCTACTAAAAATACAAAAAATTAGTCAGGCGTGGTGGTGGGTGCCTGTGGTCCCAGCTACTTGGGAGGCTGAGGCAGGAGGATTCCCTTGAGCCCAGGGGGTTGAGGCTGCCATGAGCTTTGATTGTACCACTGCACTCCAGCCTGAGAAACAGAGCAAGACTTTGTCTCTAAAAAATAAATAAATAGTCCATGAAATAAAATAAAAAACTCATAATTTCTCTATGTCTAGTTGCCCAGGCATGTCTGTTCTGGATAAGAATGGCCCCAGAGCTCCACTGCCAAAGAGGGCTTGTTCCTGGAAGAGAGAATTCTTGCAGAAAGATGAGGAAAAAAATGCAACAGAAAGGGAAGGTGCTCTGCCAGTTGGAGAAGAAAGGACAGTTGATAAATTTATTTTTATTTATTTTTTAAATTATACTTTACGTTCTGGGTACATGTGGAGAACGGGCAGGTTTGTTACGTAGGTGTACACGTGCCATGGTGGTTTGCTGCACCCATCAACCCGTCATCTACATTAGGTATTTGTCCTAATGCTCTCCCTCCCCTAGCTCCCCCAGCCCCCGACAGGCCCTGGTGTGTGATGTTCCCCTCCCTGTGTCCATGTGTTCTCATTGTTCAACTCCCACTTATGAAGGAGAACATGCAGTGTTTGGTTTTCTGTCCTTGCGACAGTTTGCTGACAATGGTGGTTTCCAGCTTCATCCATGTCCCTGCAAAGGACATGAACTCATCCTTTTTGATGGCTGCATAGTATTCCATGGTGTGTATGTGCCACATTTTCTTCATCCAGTCTATCGCTGATGGACATTTGGGTTGGTTCCAAGTCTTTGCTATTGTGAATAGTGCTGCAATAAACATACGTGTGCATGTGTCTTTATAGCAGCATGATTTATACTCCTTTGGGTATATACCCAGTAATGGGATGGCTGGGTCAAATGGTATTTCTGGTTCTAGATCCCTGAGGAATCGCCACACTGTCTTCCACAATGGTTGAACTAGTTTACAGTCCCACCAACGGTGTAAAAGCGTTCCTATTTCTCCACATCCTCTCCAGCACCTGTTGTTTCCCCACTTTTTACTGATCGTATTCTAACTGGCGTGAGATGGTATCTCATCGTGGTTTTGATTTGCATTTCTCTGATGGCCAGTGATGGTGAGCATTTTTTTTATAGGTTTGTTGGCTGCATAAATGTCTTCTTTTGAGAAGTGTCTGTTCATATCCTTTGCCCACTTTTTGATGGGTTGTTTTTTTTCTTGTCAATTTGTTTAAGTTCTTTAAGTTTAAGATATTTCTACTTATTTGTGTTTAGACTCTCATTGTCAATCACAGCCACACTGAGATAAATTCTGTCCAGAAAAATCCAGGTCCGCAAATGTCCCATAATATCGGGGGAGGCCTGAGGAAAGGTACTCCTAAAGAAAAAGAAACCTCCCATACTTCGTCAACCAGGGAAGACACTGACTTCCTTTTCCCTTCCCTTTGAGCTCTGGAAATGCCTCATTTTCAGAAGAGCGATTCCTTTCTCAGCCCACCGTCTCTGGTTCATGTCAGCTGAGGTGAAATCAAAACCTCCAGATCCCAAGGCTAAACCCACAAGTCAAAACATCCTGTGTGTGGGTGCGTGTCCAAGCTATTCATCAAGCCAATTTGAGGACTTTGCACAGAGTTTAAAAGGTGTCCTGCTTTTGATAAGGCAGAATTGTTTGCACGTCGTACCAATTCCTCAGCGGCAAAAAAGTGCAAATTGGCTGGCCGGAGCCGGGGGCTTCAGGGAGGCATATGATACCACTTAGGTTGGCATGAAAGCCATCTGTGTTCATATCACATGTTTTTGAGCAAAGAATGTGAGGTTACCAAAGGTCAGAGTCACGCTGGCTTTAAAAAAAAAAAGGGGGGGCGGGTAGGGAGGTGTAGCCTGGAATACATAGAAACACTCACCAAGAATTTTTCTAATTTATTTTCTAATAACAGAACGTGGCTGGAAAGTCATCTTCCAAGGTGTTACAAGAATGCATGAGATAGTTCAGTCTTTGTGCCTAAAAAAAAAAAATTATTCAGCTTTTCCAACACCATTGGAGTTTCACCCTCCTGAGCTGCCGGCCATCCAGACTGGGTAGATTTCTCAGGATTCTTGTTCAAAAGTGGCCAGGTGACCCTTCTGAATCCCTCTGTCACCTGCAAATAAGAATCTTTTTTTTTTTTTTTTTTTTTTTTGAGACAGAGTCTCGCACTGTCACCCAGGCTGGAGTGCAGTGGCACGATCTCGGCTCACCGCAAGCTCCGCCTCCCGGGTTCAAGTGATCCTCCTGCCTCAGCCTCCCGAATACCTGGGACTACAGGCGCCCGCCACCACCACGCCCGGCTAATTTTTGTATTTTTAGTAGAGACGGGGTTTCACCGTGTGAGCCAGGATGGTCTCGATCTCCTGACCTCGTGATCCACCCGCCTCAGCCTCCCAAAGTGCTGGGATAACAGGCGTGAGTTCAAGAGCAGCCTGGCCAACATAGTGAAACCCTGTCTCCACTGAAAATACAACAATTAGCCGGGCATGGTGGCGGGCACCTGTAATCTCAGCTACTAATGTAGATGACGGGTGGATGGGTGCAGCCAACCACCGTGGCACGTGTATATACCTATGTAACAAACCTGCACGTTCTGCATATGTATCCCAGAACTTAAAGTAAAATTAAAAAAAAAAAAAAGAAACAAAAACTAATAACATACCAGGGAAAAACGAATAAAGGGAGTGTGGTCCTTTCTCTAAGAGAGTATTACCATGTTACAAAAAACACATGGCACATGTATACATATGTAAGAAACCTGCACGTTGTGCACATGTACCCTAAAACTTAAAATATAATAATAATAAAATTTAAAAAAAATGATCAAGTTTATATTCCAAAAAAAAAAAAAAAGCCTTCTTCTATTTATGGCATTGTAATTCTCCCTTATCTGATATTATTCCTTGTCTCTGGCCAGGATCGTTTGCATAATGGACCATCGTTGAAAAACGCAGGAGAGGAAGACAGATGGGCCCGTCGGCCACAGATATTGTGACTCGCCCGTCCCTGGGGAGGTCCCGGGACTCCGCCATGGAGACAGAAAAATGGAAAAGGGAGAATCAAACTTAAAAAAATACAACGAAACACCAAAGCACCTTATATCGAACAAAATACATTGTTAGAGGTGAACAAAGACAGCAAGATGGAGAAAGCGTACATACATCAAAACTTTAAAAGAGATAAACCCCAAAGAGAGAAACTCATGTTACCTTAGAAGAATAAAATAATATTATACAGGCTGAGGTGGAGGATGGAGGGTTAAGCCCCTTCACCTCCCACCCCAACTGGTCCCTGATGTCAATCACTCACCCACTTATTCATTTATCCATCTTTCAATCCAGCCGCCTACCTGAAATCCAGCATTGGCTGATACAGGACACGACTTAAAGGGAAAAATTCAAGCTGGGAACTGTCTCAGACAACCCTGTCTCCTATTTGACTCCTAAAAAAAAAAGATAGCTACCAGGAGAAAAGAGCCACAGTCTTCCCTCACAATCTATCCACAGAAATTCCTCGTGGACAAGGGACAAGACAGAACTCAAGAGCTGAAAGCATCCCTCTACTCACTGAGATAAATGCATATCTCATGGTCTCCTTTGGAAAGGCTAATTAGAAACTCAACAGGACCGGGCGCGGTGGCTCACGCCTGTCATCCCAGCACTTTGGGAGGCTGAGGTGGGCGGATCATGAGGTCAGGAGTTCAAGACCAGCCTGACGAAGATGGTGAAACCCCGTCTCTACTAAAAATACAAAAACTAGCCAGGCATGGTGGCAGGCACCTGTAGTCCCAGCTACTCGGGAGGCTGAGGCAGGAGAATCACTTGAACCTGGGAGGTGGAGGTTGCAGTGAGCCGAGATCCCACCACTGCACTCCAGCCTGGGTGACAGAGCGAGACGGGCGCAGTGACTCACGCCTGTCATCCCAGCACTTTGGGAGGCCGAGGCGGGCGGATCATGAGGTCAGGAGTTCAAGACCAGCCTGACCAAGATGGTGAAACCCGATCTCTACTAAAAATACAAAGAATAGCCAGGTGTGGGGGCGGGTGCCTGTCATCCCAGCTACTCAGGAGGCTGAGGCAGGAGAATCACTTGAACCCGGGAGGTGGAGGTTGCAGTGAGCCGAGATCCCACCACTGCACTCCAGCCTGGGCAACAGAGCAAGACTCCATCTCAAAAAAAAAATAAAAATAAAAATAAAAATTCTCATTTTCAGGTGACAGAGTGAGACTCATCTCAAAAAAAAAAAAAAAACAAAAAGAAAGAAACTCAACAGAACACAAGTGTTTGTCTCTTGCCTACCTGTGATCTGGAAACCCTCTTCCCGCCTCATATTGTCCTGCTTTTCCAAACCAAACCAACACAGAGCAAGCTGTGCCCTGACCACCTTGGGACACGTCGTCAGAGCCTCCTAAGATGGTGTGACGGACGCTGTCTTCTTAACCTTGGCAGAAGAAACTTCCTGACTTGCTGGAGATCTGTCTCAGATATTTGGGGTTCACAGGCGTCTTATCCCGGGAGGTGACCGTGTATGAGAGATTTAATGAGGGTAGGAAGACACTTCAGAGATACTCTCTTAAATATGTTTTAGGGGCAACCTCACGGACCAGGGGCCATGAGGACAGCAAAGATCCAGCACCCACATGCACAGTATTTTTTCTTACCATCTAGTCCTTTATTTAAAATAATAATGATAATAATAAAAGATTGGCTGAGCCCTGCTCCCGGGTGAAAACACAGACGTAGGAATTGAGATGGTGGATGAGATTATAGGTGTGGATGAAGTCCCTGGGAGAACCTAGAGTGAGAAGGAAAGAGCCAGGAGTAGAATGTAGGACCCTCCAGGAGAGGAGGAGGCGAAGGAGGGCGAGAGGACGGCCAGGAAAGGATTGGGATGCAGTGAGAGGAGGGGGGAGAAGGGAGAGGGAGAGAAGAGAGAGAAAAGAGAGGAATGAAACAGAGAAAGGAAAGAGGAGAGGGGAGAGAGAGAGAAGAGAGAGGGAGAGGAAGAAAGAGAGGGGAGGGACAGAGGCAGACGGAGAGGAAGAGAAGAGAGAAGGGGAGAGAAAAAGAGGAAAAAAACAGAGAGAAGAGAGAAAGAGAGGGGCAGAAACACAGACAGAGAGGGGGAGAGAGACAGGGAGAGGAAGAGGAGAGAGACAGGCACAGAGAGAAAAAAGGAATGAAACAGACAGAAGAGAGACAGAGAGAAAGAGGGGGAGAAACACGGAGACGTGAGAGAGAGAGAGAGAGGAAGAGGAGAGACGGGGAGAGAAAAAAAGAGGAAAAAAACAGAGAGAAGAGAAAGAAAGAGAGAGAAGCGAGGGAAAATGCAGAGAAGAGAAAAAGAGAGAGAGAGAGGCACAGTCCAGTCTGCAGCCCCCACAGAACCTGCAACCTCTGCCCCTGCTAAAAGCCAGAGTGGAGACCCTTCATCTCTTCAGTGGAGGAAGGAGCTCCTGCTCCCACAGGGAAAGGGGATGCAGGGAGAGGGAAGGAGCTCCTGCTCCCACAGGGAAAGGGGATGCAGGGAGAGGGAAGGAGCTCTCACTCCCACAGGGAAAGGGGCTGCAGGGAGAGGGAAGGAGCTCTCACTCCCACAGGGAAAGGGGATGCAGGGAGAGGGAAGGAGCTCTCACTCCCACAGGGAAAGGGGATGCAGGGAGAGGGAAGGAGCTCCTGCTCCCACAGGGAAAGGGGCTGCAGGGAGAGGGAAGGAGCTCTCACTCCCACAGGGAAAGGGGATGCAGGGAGAGGGAAGGAGCTCTCACTCCCACAGGGAAAGGGGATGCAGGGAGAGGGAAGGAGCTCCTGCTCCCACAGGGAAAGGGGCTGCAGGGAGAGGGAAGGAGCTCTCACTCCCACAGGGAAAGGGGATGCAGGGAGAGGGAAGGAGCTCTCACTCCCACAGGGAAAGGGGCTGCAGGGAGAGGGAAGGAGCTCTCACTCCCACAGGGAAAGGGGATGCAGGGAGAGGGAAGGAGCTCTCACTCCCACAGGGAAAGGGGATGCAGGGAGAGGGAAGGAGCTCCTGCTCCCACAGGGAAAGGGGCTGCAGGGAGAGGGAAGGAGCTCTCACTCCCACAGGGAAAGGGGATGCAGGGAGAGGGAAGGAGCTCTCACTCCCACAGGGAAAGGGGATGCAGGGAGAGGGAAGGAGCTCCTGCTCCCACAGGGAAAGGGGCTGCAGGGAGAGGGAAGGAGCTCCTGCTCCCACAGGGAAAGGGGATGCAGGGAGAGGGAAGGAGCTCTCACTCCCACAGGGAAAGGGGCTGCAGGGAGAGGGAAGGAGCTCTCACTCCCACAGGGAAAGGGGATGCAGGGAGAGGGAAGGAGCTCCTGCTCCCACAGGGAAAGGGGCTGCAGGGAGAGGGAAGGAGCTCTCACTCCCACAGGGAAAGGGGATGCAGGGAGAGGGAAGGAGCTCTCACTCCCACAGGGAAAGGGGATGCAGGGAGAGGGAAGGAGCTCCTGCTCCCACAGGGAAAGGGGCTGCAGGGAGAGGGAAGGAGCTCTCACTCCCACAGGGAAAGGGGATGCAGGGAGAGGGAAGGAGCTCTCACTCCCACAGGGAAAGGGGCTGCAGGGAGAGGGAAGGAGCTCTCACTCCCACAGGGAAAGGGGATGCAGGGAGAGGGAAGGAGCTCTCACTCCCACAGGGAAAGGGGCTGCAGGGAGAGGGAAGGAGCTCCTGCTCCCACAGGGAAAGGGGCTGCAGGGAGAGGGAAGGAGCTCTCACTCCCACAGGGAAAGGGGATGCAGGGAGAGGGAAGGAGCTCTCACTCCCACAGGGAAAGGGGATGCAGGGAGAGGGAAGGAGCTCTCACTCCCACAGGGAAAGGGGCTGCAGGGAGAGGGAAGGAGCTCTCACTCCCACAGGGAAAGGGGCTGCAGGGAGAGGGAAGGAGCTCTCACTCCCACAGGGAAAGGGGATGCAGGGAGAGGGAAGGAGCTCTCACTCCCACAGGGAAAGGGGATTCAGGGAGAGGGAAGGAGCTCCTGCTCCCACAGGGAAAGGGGATGCAGGGAGAGGGAAGGAGCTCTCACTCCCACAGGGAAAGGGGATGCAGGGAGAGGGAAGGAGCTCCTGCTCCCACAGGGAAAGGGGCTGCAGGGAGAGGGAAGGAGCTCTCACTCCCACAGGGAAAGGGGATGCAGGGAGAGGGAAGGAGCTCTCACTCCCACAGGGAAAGGGGATGCAGGGAGAGGGAAGGAGCTCTCACTCCCACAGGGAAAGGGGATGCAGGGAGAGGGAAGGAGCTCCTGCTCCCACAGGGAAAGGGGATGCAGGGAGAGGGAAGGAGCTCTCACTCCCACAGGGAAAGGGGATGCAGGGAGAGGGAAGGAGCTCTCACTCCCACAGGGAAAGGGGATGCAGGGAGAGGGAAGGAGCTCTCACTCCCACAGGGAAAGGGGATGCAGGGAGAGGGAAGGAGCTCTCACTCCCACAGGGAAAGGGGATGCAGGGAGAGGGAAGGAGCTCCTGCTCCCACAGGGAAAGGGGATGCAGGGAGAGGGAAGGAGCTCTCACTCCCACAGGGAAAGGGGCTGCAGGGAGAGGGAAGGAGCTCTCACTCCCACAGGGAAAGGGGATGCAGGGAGAGGGAAGGAGCTCTCACTCCCACAGGGAAAGGGGATGCAGGGAGAGGGAAGGAGCTCTCACTCCCACAGGGAAAGGGGCTGCAGGGAGAGGGAAGGAGCTCCTGCTCCCACAGGGAAAGGGGATGCAGGGAGAGGGAAGGAGCTCCTGCTCCCACAGGGAAAGGGGCTGCAGGGAGAGGGAAGGAGCTCTCACTCCCACAGGGAAAGGGGATGCAGGGAGAGGGAAGGAGCTCTCACTCCCACAGGGAAAGGGGATGCAGGGAGAGGGAAGGAGCTCCTGCTCCCACAGGGAAAGGGGATGCAGGGAGAGGGAAGGAGCTCCTGCTCCCACAGGGAAAGGGGATGCAGGGAGAGGGAAGGAGCTCCTGCTCCCACAGGGAAAGGGGCTGCAGGGAGAGGGAAGGAGCTCTCACTCCCACAGGGAAAGGGGATGCAGGGAGAGGGAAGGAGCTCCTGCTCCCACAGGGAAAGGGGATGCAGGGAGAGGGAAGGAGCTCCTGCTCCCACAGGGAAAGGGGATGCAGGGAGAGGGAAGGAGCTCTCACTCCCACAGGGAAAGGGGATGCAGGGAGAGGGAAGGAGCTCTCACTCCCACAGGGAAAGGGGATGCAGGGAGAGGGAAGGAGCTCTCACTCCCACAGGGAAAGGGGATGCAGGGAGAGGGAAGGAGCTCTCACTCCCACAGGGAAAGGGGATGCAGGGAGAGGGAAGGAGCTCCTGCTCCCACAGGGAAAGGGGATGCAGGGAGAGGGAAGGAGCTCTCACTCCCACAGGGAAAGGGGATGCAGGGAGAGGGAAGGAGCTCTCACTCCCACAGGGAAAGGGGATGCAGGGAGAGGGAAGGAGCTCCTGCTCCCACAGGGAAAGGGGATGCAGGGAGAGGGAAGGAGCTCTCACTCCCACAGGGAAAGGGGATGCAGGGAGAGGGAAGGAGCTCTCACTCCCACAGGGAAAGGGGCTGCAGGGAGAGGGAAGGAGCTCTCACTCCCACAGGGAAAGGGGATGCAGGCAGAGGGAAGGAGCTCCTGCTCCCACAGGGAAAGGGGCTGCAGGGAGAGGGAAGGAGCTCTCACTCCCACAGGGAAAGGGGATGCAGGGAGAGGGAAGGAGCTCCTGCTCCCACAGGGAAAGGGGATGCAGGGAGAGGGAAGGAGCTCTCACTCCCACAGGGAAAGGGGATGCAGGGAGAGGGAAGGAGCTCTCACTCCCACAGGGAAAGGGGATGCAGGGAGAGGGAAGGAGCTCTCACTCCCACAGGGAAAGGGGATGCAGGGAGAGGGAAGGAGCTCCTGCTCCCACAGGGAAAGGGGCTGCAGGGAGAGGGAAGGAGCTCCTGCTCCCACAGGGAAAGGGGATGCAGGGAGAGGGAAGGAGCTCCTGCTCCCACAGGGAAAGGGGATGCAGGGAGAGGGAAGGAGCTCTCACTCCCACAGGGAAAGGGGCTGCAGGGAGAGGGAAGGAGCTCTCACTCCCACAGGGAAAGGGGCTGCAGGGAGAGGGAAGGAGCTCCTGCTCCCACAGGGAAAGGGGATGCAGGGAGAGGGAAGGAGCTCCTGCTCCCACAGGGAAAGGGGCTGCAGGGAGAGGGAAGGAGCTCCTGCTCCCACAGGGAAAGGGGATGCAGGGAGAGGGAAGGAGCTCCTGCTCCCACAGGGAAAGGGGATGCAGGGAGAGGGAAGGAGCTCTCACTCCCACAGGGAAAGGGGATGCAGGGAGAGGGAAGGAGCTCTCACTCCCACAGGGAAAGGGGATGCAGGGAGAGGGAAGGAGCTCTCACTCCCACAGGGAAAGGGGATGCAGGGAGAGGGAAGGAGCTCCTGCTCCCACAGGGAAAGGGGCTGCAGGGAGAGGGAAGGAGCTCCTGCTCCCACAGGGAAAGGGGTTGCAGGGAGAGGGGCCACAGGTGGTCTCTTATCTCTCTTACCCCAGCCGGCTGGGGCTGCGGCTATCCCAGAACAGAACACAGGGGCTAACTTAGAAACCGCAGACATTTACCGCTCAGAGCTCTGGAGGCTGGAAGACAAAGATCCAGGTGTGGTGGGTTCTGTGTGTATGGAAAGGCCTCCTGCTTCATAGACAGCGCCTTCTCTCTGTGCCCTCACGTGGTGGAAGGGGCCTCCCCGGCGACCCTTTTATAAGGGCAGTCATCCCAGCCATGAGCCTCCAACCCTATGACCTCCTCACCTCCCAAAGACCCCACCTCCCAATATCATCAACTTTGGAGAGAGGATTTCTTTCCTTTTTTTTTTTTTTATTATACTTTAAGTTCTGGGGTACATGTGCAGAACGTGCAGGTTGGTTACATAGGTATACACGTGCCATGGTGGTTTTCTGCACCCATCAACCCGTCGTCTACATTAGGTGTTTCTCCTAATGCTCTCCCTCACCTTCCCCCAACCCCCTGACAGGCCCTGGTGTGTGATGTTCCCCTTCCTGTGTCCATGTGTTCTCATTGTTCAGCTCCCACTTATGGGTGAGAACATGCGGTGTTTGGTTTTCTGTTCCTGTGTGAATTTGCTGAGAATGATGGTTTCCAGCTTCATCCATGTCCCTGCAAAGGACATGAACTCATCCTTTTTCATGGCTGCATAGTATTCCATGGTGTGTATGTGCCACATTTTCTTCATCCAGTCTGTCATTGATGCGCATTTGGATTGGTTCCAAGTCTTTGCTATTGTGAACAGTGCCGCAAAAACATACGTGCACATGTGTCTTTATAGGAGAATGATTTACAATCCTTTGGGTATATACCCAGTAATGAAATTGCTGGGTCAAATGATATTTCTGGTTGTAGATCCTTGAGGAATCACCACACTGTCTTCCACAATGGTTGAACTAAGGATGGGGAGACAATTTCAACACAGGAATTTGGGTAACACAGACATTCAGGCCACAGCTGAGCACGGGACAAGCATCACTGCTGAGCTGGCCGCCCCGTGGACACCACCTACCTGCACGCCCGCTTGCCTGTCAAAGATCAAATGCCAAGGACGGTCAAAAAACCCAACGTTTATCAAGCTCTCTCTGGGTGCCACGTCCTTCTGCGCAACTGGGCTTATTAAGACACAGATAGAAACAGCGTTCGTTGGAATCTGAACACTGAGATACTGTAAATATCCTGCCAAAAGGAAGGAATCTCTGAAAACATTGTCATGACAATCATATTAACAGATATTTCATCTTCTCCGCCTTGGGTAGGGCTTTGCAAGGTCTTTGTAGAGAATTTCCGTTCAAGCCTCCGAGAATCCTCAAGGGCCCTCTGCCTCCGGAAGGATTTGAAGGTCTTGGTGGAGACAGCGTTGAAGAAATATCATTAAAAGCAAAATCTGCCAACCCCGGGGACCTCACCACGAAGGTAAAAGAGAAAAGAAAATGATTTTATTGTGGAACCAGCATCAAACCAGAATGCCAAGCCTATCACAAGCAATTCACTAAAGAGGTTGTAATGACACGAAGCAATCTCACCCTTCGCTAGATGTAAGTGTGTACAGCCCATTGCCTTAGCTGGCTTTTGCAATCTCGAGTCAGGTGACAACTTAGACCCTTCTCGTCCGCAGACACTGGAGCTAGGGGCGTTTTCCTCCTTCATGATCTCATTTGAAAAGAGGTGGCTCCCAGGTCCTTGGGGAAACGTTCCTGGGTTATGAGACAGGCAAGTGGATTATTTAGACTTGAAAAAGATTTATACCCCTTTGCCGGGCGCGGTGGCTCACGCCTGTCATCCCAGCACTTTGGGAGGCCGAGGCGGGCGGATCACGAGGTCAAGAGATGGAGACTATACTGGCTAACACGGTGAAACCCCGTCTCTACTAAAAATACAAAAAAAATTAGCCGGGCGTGGTGGCGGGCGCCTGTAGTCCCAGCTACTTGGGAGGCTGAGGCAGGAGAAAGGCGTGAACCCGGGAGGTGGAGCTTGCAGTGAGCCTTGTCACGCCACTGCACTCCAGCCTGGGCGACAGAGCGAGATTCCATCTCAAAAAAAAAAAAAAAAAAAAAAAAGAGCAAGCACATACATGGGACACTGTTTATCTTTGAAAGAGGAGGCTGAGGTTATTCTGTCTGATTATGTCCAGTGTCTCCTTTTTATTCTTTTTTTTGCATAAATAAAATACGTTAATTATAGAATTAGAAAAGAATACACTTTGAGAAGGGAGAATGCTGTTGATGGAAAGAAAAGGGTCATGGTAAAACACTATCTCTACTAAAAATACAAAATTAGCCGGGTGTGGTGGTGCATGCCTGTAATCCCAGCTACTCGGTGGGCTGAGGCAGGAGAATTGCTTCAACCCAGGAGGCGGAGGTTGCAGTGAGCTGAGATTGTGCCATTAAACTCCAGCCTGGGCAACAGAGCGAGACTCCATCTCAAATAATAATAAGAAGAAGAAGATATCTTGGTCCTAATATCTAAACATATCAAAAAGTTGGCCAAACAAACATGTGAAAAAAAAGCTCATCATCACTGGTCATCAGAGAAATGCAAATCAAAACCACAATGAGATACCACCTCACACCAGTTAGAAGGGCGATCATTAAAAAGTCAGGAAACAACAGGTGCTGGAGAGGATGTGGAGAAATAGGAACACTTTTACACTGTTGGTGGGACTGTAAACTAGTTCAACCATTATGGAAGACAGTGTGGCGATTCCTCAGGGATCTAGAACCAGAAATACCATTTGACCCAGCCATCCCATCACTGGGTATATACCCAAAGGATTATAAATCATCCTGCTATAAAGACACATGCACACGTATGTTTATTGCGGCACTATTCACAACAGCAAAGATTTGGAACCAACCCAAATGCCCATCAATAATAGACTGGAGAAAGAAAACGTGGCACAGAGACACCATGGAATACTATGCAGCCATCAAAAAGGAGGAGTTCATGTCCTTTGCAGGGACATGGATGAAGCTGGAAACCATCATTCTCAGCAAACTAACACAGAAACAGAAAACCAAACACCGCATGTTGTCACTCATAAGTGGGAGTCGAACAATGAGAACACATGGACACAGGGAGGGGAACATCACACACCAGGGCCTGTCAGGGGGTGGGGGGATAGGGGAGGGAGAGCATTAGGAAAAATACCTAATGTAGATGATGGGTTGATGGGTGCAGAAAACCACCATGGCATGTGTATACGTATGTAACAAACCTGCCCGTTCTGCACACATACCCCAGAACTTAAAGTAAAATAAAACAAACACACAAACAAAAACTGAAAAAAAGAAAGTTGGCCAAAATATATGAACAGGACTTGGACGCTGGCTCATTTCTACGTTGGTATCTTAAGTAGTGATATTTTGTAAAAATCTGACCCAGACACGCTACTGTCTCTCTCTCTCTCTCTTTCTCTCTAATCCAAAATCATCTTTGGAAAGAAACACAACTCTTGTAAAAAATAAAACACGAGGCACCTGACTCACAAGACGGCAGCCTCAAGTTACACCACAAGTAACCGAGGTCCTTTCTGTTCACCACCACGTGGCCTCAAGGTTGCAAGGAGGCTGCTGCTGATCCGGGCATCACAGCCACACTCAGAGACAGGAGCGGAGTAGAGGTGGAGGGGCCGTGCTAGCCACACCTCCTCTTGTATATTTACCTTCCGTTCCATTGGCTGAGATTGGACCCCAGGGCCACCCCTAGGTAAAGAGAAGCAAAAGGTTGTCTTTGGCAGGTAATTCAACTGCTGGTTGTTCACACAACACCTCTTTTCAAAATTGGTTTTATAGCCCGAGTGGTGGCTCATGCCTGTCATCCCAACACTTTGGGAGGCTGAGGCAGGCAGATCACTTGAGGTCAGGAGTTCAAAACCAGCTTCAGCAACAAGGCAAGACTGTCTCTAAAAAAAATAAATAAATAAAACAAAAAAATTGCCAGGCATGGTGGTGCACACCTGTGGTCCCAGCTACTCTGGAGGCTGAGGTGGGAGGATCACTTGAGCCCAGGAGTTCGAAGTTCCAACGAGCCATGATTGCACCACTGTGCTCCAGCGTGGGCAGCGGAGTGAGACCGTGTCTTGCAAAAAAACCCAAAAAACAAAAACAACAGTTTTCTATGACTAGAGGGAAGTCACTCAGTTGTAGCATCATTTCCGAAGGTCCCTCCTTCTCTGAGCTTGGAATAACCGGGAAAATTGGATAAGGTTAGAGAAAACAAGGGGAGTAATGACCTAGTTCCCAACAGACCATCGGCTCCAAGCTCTTCCTATGTTGAGTATTAGAGTTTTGGAGTAAGTTCCATGGATGAGGTGGCTTCCATTTCCTAATCAACCTCAGAGAAAACAAATCATGTGTAAAGGTTGCCGACATTCCCAGTTAAACACAGAAGGAGGGGACCTTTTAGCCTCCGTAGCTGTTGCTTTTTTTTTTTTCTTTTTTTGAGACAGAGTCTCGCTCTGTCACCCAGGCTGGAGTGCAATGGCGTGATCTCGGCTCACTGCAACCTCCACCTCCCAGGTTCAAACAATCCTCTCCCTCAGCCTCCCGAGTAGCTGGGATTACAGATGCCTGCCACCACGCCTGGTTAATTTTTTGGTATTTTTAGTAGAGACAGGGTTTCACCATCTTGGCCAGGCTGGTCTTGAACTCCTGACCTCCTGATCCACCTGCCTCGGCCTCCCAAAGTGCTGGGATTATAGCCATGAGCCACCCCACCTGGCCCCTGCAATATATATATATGTATTTTTTTTTTTTTGGTGGCATATTCTGAAGCTCTTCAGGGTCTCCCAGGCTAATTCTTGAGACAGTCACCATTTTCCCTCCAGTGGAAACTCGGAGCTTCACCGGGAAATCGTTCATTTCAATCAGGATGTAGGGGACCTCACCCCATAGAACCATCACGCTATTAGGGCAGGAAAAGCAAAAAACTGTAAAAAAGCTGACACGTTTGTTTTTTTAATACAGGACGTAACTTAATTAATTAACTCTAAAATCCAGCATATAAAGTAGATCACTGGCCACTAGAAGAAGAGTAATTGATTTTTTTTTCTACCCAATACAGTTGCATAATTTATTCTTATTATTCATTTATATGGCATCTCTCTTTTGAGAAGTGCATAATGGTTTTGCAACTTTGGTGTCTTATTAAACATTCATCATCGCCCTCAGAGGACGGCAAGAGGCAAATATTATTACATTATCCAACAATTTCTCCATGAAAACCTATAATTGGAATGAAAAGCCATTTCAAGGAATGAAATAATGCCAGTGAAAGGTAACGCTGAGATAATTGAATGATCGGCTTTTCTGATATTCAGCACAAAAGAGCCGTAAATTGACTCTCTTGTCCAGCCCAGGTACCACATTGCTAACGGTGACATGACCACAGACCCCAGGAATGCAGCTTCCTACGGGTGGGTGTCTGCCCCTTGGGGCAAAGGATCGGGAGGGAGTCACTTCCTGCTGCGTTCTGCCTGCTTTTGGCAAGGTTGAGAGAGAGAGAGAGTGAAATATGTGTGGGAGCACGGATATTGATAATCCAGTTGGATGATAGATAGATGGATAGATAGATAATAGACAGATACATACATACATAGATAGATGGATAGATAGATGATAGATAGATATAATACATAGATACATAGATGAGAGATGATAGATATAATAGATGATAGATAAGATAGATGATAGATATAATAGATACATAGATGATAGATATAAATAGATATAATAGATAGATAATAGATGCAATAGATAGATGATAGATAAGATAGATAATAGATATAATAAATACATGATAAGATAGATGATACATACATACATAGATACATAGATAAATATAATAGATACATAGAATATAGATACATAGATATAATAGATACAAAGAATAAATAGATATAGATAAATAGATAAAATAGATACATAGAATACATAAATAGATATGGATACATAGATATAATAGATACATAGAATAGATATAGATAAATAGATACATAGAATACATAAATAGATATACATAGATATAATAGATACATAGAATAAATAGATATAGATACATACATAAAATAGATACATAGAATACATAAATAGATATAGATACATAGATATAATAGATACATACAATAGATATAGATACATAGATAAAATAGATACATAGAATACATAAATAGATATAGATACATAGATATAATAGATACATACAATAGATATAGATAAATAGATAAAATAGATACATAGAATACATAAATAGATATGGATACATAGATATAATAGATACATAGAATAGATATAGATAAATAGATACATAGAATACATAAATAGATATAGATACACAGATATAATAGATACATAGAATAAATATAGATACATAGATAAAATAGATACATAGAATACATAAATAGATATAGATACATAGATATAATAGATACATACAATAGATATAGATAAATAGATAAAATAGATACATAGAATACATAAATAGATATAGATACATAGATATAATAGATACATACAATAGATATAGATAAATAGATAAAATAGATACATAGAATACATAAATAGATATGGATACATAGATATAATAGATACATAGAATAGATATAGATAAATAGATACATAGAATACATAAATAGATATAGATACACAGATATAATAGATACATAGAATAAATAGATATAGATACATAGATAAAATAGATACATAGAATACATAAATAGATATAGATACATAGATATAATAGATACATACAATAGATATAGATAAATAGATAAAATAGATACATAGAATACATAAATAGATATAGATACATAGATATAATAGATACATCGATAGGTAAGATATATAGATAGATTAATAGATAGAGAAAGAGAGAGAGATGATAGCTGATCATCTCTCTTCTAGGTCTATATGGGCTACATTCACGGCGCCCCTTTCCCTGTGGGAAAGAAAAAGAAAGAAAGAGAGAAAGAAGAAAAGAAAGAAATGAAGGAAGGAAGGAGGGAAGGAAGGAAGGACAGGAAGGAAGGAAGGAAGAAGGGAAGGAGGGAAGGACAGGAAGGAGGGAGGCAGGCAAGAAAGGGAATACTTTTTGCTGTTGTTGACCAAATGATTACCTTTAGAAATCCTTAAATGATGAGTTTAATTTCAAATGCTGAAGTGGTTACAAACAGGCTTTTCTCACCACCATTTATGAGCTATTGAAACAGTCGCTTGATTCTCAACTGTGTTTGTTGTGAGACGTGTGTGGTAGCACCCAAAACCAGTCCAGTTTTTCAACTATGGAAGTGTAGGTTTGTTTTTTTTGGTTTTGTTTTGTTTTTAAGAGGCCAAGACACATAGATTTAGCGTTAACTTCTGAAAAAAAAGTGCAAGAAGCATGAACATCTCTTTCTGTACATTAGAAATGTGTCTCAGAATGCAATATATTGGATAAAAAGGGGAAAAACACCACAGAGAGGTGACATAATCTCACGGTGGCCCCTGGGCTTTGTTTAAAGAAAATAAATCAGTCTGGGAGTGGTGGCTCACGCCTGTCATCCCAGCACTTTGGGGAGGCTGAGGCAGGTGAATCACCTGAGGTCAGGAGTTCGAGACCAGCCTGGCCAACATGGAGAAACCCCATCTCTAGTAAAAATACAAAAATTAGCCGGGCGTGGTGGTGGGCACCTGTAGTCCCAGGTACTCGGGAGACTGAGGCAGGAGAATGGTGTGAACCCAGGAGGCGGAGGTTGCAGTGAGCCGAGACCACAGCACTGCACTCCAGCCTGGGTGACGAGGGCGCAACTCCATGTCAACAAAAAGAACAGAATTCGGCCGGGCACGGTGTTTCATGCCTGTAATTACAGCACTTTGGGAGGCCAAGGCAGGTGGATCACCTGAGGTCAGGAGATCGAGACCATCCTGGCCAACATGGTGAAACCCTATCTCAACTAAAAATACAAAAATTAGCCGGGCGTGGCGGAGGGCACCTGTCATCCCAGCTACTCGGGAGGCTGAGGCAGGAGAATCGCTTGAACCCAGGAGGCGGAGGTTGCAATGAGCTGAGATCGAGCCACTGCACTCCAGCCTGGGTGACAAGAGCGAGACTCCATCTCAAAAAAAAAAAAAAAAGAACAGAAGTCAGATGTCCTCAGGAACCCTGATGTTATCCTAGGGGGATATCCTAAGAAGTATCAAGACCCCATAGCCACCAGCAGCAAGCACAGCAGTGGCCAAACTTTGAAATTCTTTTCTATGTATAAGCAAGTCTATTAAAAAATAAACGCAGAACAGACAAATTCGTTGAGACAGAAAGGAGCTTTGTGACTGCCAGGGGCTGAGAGAGAGGGATTGGGGCTGTGACTGTTTGATAGGTTTCCTTCTGGAAAATTCTATTCCTAGAATATTTTGCTCCCCCAGAAGGAACCCTATGAAACAGACACACCCCCAATCCCTCTCATTGTAAATGTACAGCAACATTGTAAATGCACACACACGTCCCTGAACTGTTCACTTTTGAAAGGATTGCTTGCGTGCCATGCAAACTTAATCTCAGTTTTAAAAAATTGAGAAGCTGGGTGTGGTAGCTCACGCCTGTAATCCCAGCGCTTTGGGAGGCCAAGGAGGGCGGATCACGAGGTCAAGAGATCGAGACCATCCTGGCCAACACGGTGAAACCCCGTCTGTACCAAAAATACAAAAAATTAGCCGGGCTTCGTGGTGGGCGCCCCTTCGTCCGGCCTGAAGTCTCTTTTATAAGGGATGAATCCCATTCATGAGGATCCAACCCTCCTGACCACCACGCGCCTCGGCCTCCCAAAGTGCTGGGATTACAGGCGTGAGCCACCGCGCCCGGCCAGATGTCCACATCTTAATTCATCGTAAGTTCCTTCAAATCAACCGTTGTTGAGGCAGAAATCAACTGGCTCTTGGGGCTCATGATGTGGGGGTGACCTACCACATTTGTGTGTGTGTGTGTTTAGTGTGGTGTCTGTCCTGTGCAGAGTGTGTGTGTTTAGCGACGTCTGCGTCTGTTGCGTGTAATTGTAGATTATGTGTTATGTGTGTGTATTCAGTGTGACGTCTGTCCTGTGCAGAGTGTATGTGTTTAGTGTGGTTTGTGTGTGTTGTGTGTAGTGTGTATTTTCTGTGTTGTAAGTGTGTGGTGTCTGGTATCTGTATTGTGCATAGTGTGTGTTTAGTGTGGTTTGCATGTGTTGTGTGCAATGTGTATTTTGTGGGTGCAGTGTGTGTTTAGTGTGGTTTGTGTTGTGTGTAGTATGTATTTGTGTGTTTTGTGTGTGTATTGTGTGGCATCTGTGTTGTGCATAACGTCTGTGTTTAGTGTTGTGTATATGTAGTAGGTATTTTGTGTGTTGCATGTGTGTGTTTTATGTGGCATCTGTTTTGCGCACAGAATATGTGTTTAGTGTGGTTTGTGTGTATTTTGTGTGTTGTATGTGTGTGTGTTGTGTGGCATCTGTTGTGCACAGTGTATGTGTTTACTGTGGTTTGTGTGTGTTGTGTGTAGTGTGTATTTTGTGTGTTGTAAGTGTCTGTTGTCTGGTATCTGTATTGTGCATAGTGTGTGTTTACTGTGGTTTGTGTGTGTTGTGTGTAGTGTGTATTTTGTGTGTTGGGTGTGTGCGTGTTGTGTGGCATCTGTGTTGTGCATATGTGTTTAGTGTGGTTTGTGTGTGCTGTGTGTAGTGTGTATTTTGTGTGTTATATGTGTGTGTGTGGTGTGGCATCTGTGTTGTGCATAGTGTGTGTGGTTTGTGAGGCCAGTCTGTGTTTTTCTATGTATTTTGTGTGTCATATGTATTTTGTGTATATGTGTATTTAGTGTGGTGTTTGTACTGTGCAGAGTGTGTGTGTTTAGTGTGGTTTGTGTGGTTTGTGTGTAGTGTGCATTTGTGTGTGCAGTGTGTGGTTTGTGCTGTGTTGTGTATAGTATGTATTTGCGTGTTTTATGTGTGTGTGTTCTGTGGCATCTGTGTTGTGCATATGTGTTTAGTGTGGTTTGTGTGTGTTGTGTATATTTTGTGTGTTCTATGTGTGTGTGTTGTGTGGCATCTTTGTTGTGCATAGCATATGTGTTTAGTGTGGTTTGTGTGTGCTGTGTGTAGTGTGTATTCTGTGTGTTGTGTGCAGTAGGTGTTTTGTGTGTAGTGTGTATTTTATGTGTTGTGTGTGTGTGGTGTGGCATCTGTGTTGTGCATAGTGTATGTGTTTACTGTGGTTTGTGTGTGTTGGGACTGGGACCTAATGGCTGTCTACACAGCAGGCTCCTATGCAGCTCCATCCTGGGACTGGGACCTAATGGCCGTCTATGCAGCAGACTAGGATGTACCTGCATCCTGGGACCTAATGGCCGTCTACACAGCAGGCTTGACTCCAGCTCCATCCTGGGACTGGGACCTAATGGCTGTCTACACAGCAGGCTCGACTCCAGCTCCATCCTGGGACTGGGACCTAATGGCTGTCTACACAGCAGGCTCCTATGCAGCTCTATCCTGGGACTAGGACCTAATGGTCATCTACGCAGCAGACTCAAATCCAGCTCCATCCTGGGACCTAATGGCCATCTATGCAGCAGACTTGGATCCACCTGCGTCCCGGGACCTAATGGCCGTCTATGCAGCAGACTTGAATCCAGCTCCGTCTCAGGACCTAATGGATGTCTACACAGCAGGCTCGAATCCAGCTCCGTCCTGGGACCTCATGGCCATCTATGCAGCAGACTCAAATCCAGCTCCGTCCCGGGACCTAATGGCTGTCTACACAGCAGGCTCGAATCCAACTCCATCCCAGGACCTAATGGCTGTCTACACAGCAGGCTCGAATCCAGCTCCATCCCGGGACCTAATGGCCATCTATGCAGCAGACTCGAATCCAGCTCTGTCCCGGGACCTAATGGCTGTCTACACAGCAGGCTCGAATCCAGCTCCATCCCGGGACATAATGGCCGTCTATGCAGCAGACTCGAATCCAGCTCTGTCCCAGGACCTAATGGCTGTCTACACAGCAGGCTCGAATCCAACTCCATCCCAGGACCTAATGGCTGTCTACACAGCAGGCTCGAATCCAGCTCCGTCCCGGGACCTAATGGCCGTCTATGCAGCAGACTCGAATCCAGCTCCGTCCCAGGACCTAATGGGTGTCTACACAGCAGGCTCGAATCCAGCTCCATCCTGGGACCTGATGGCCGTCTATGCAGCAGGGTTGGCCGCCCACCCCGAGTTTATTCAGCTGCGGCCGCGCCGTCATGCCGTGGAGACTGTCGGCTTTTTCCGGGATCTTTTTTATCATTGCCTTTGCAAAGGTTCCGTCGAGTTTTATGCTGAGCTATGAAATTAGACCGATCGATTTTCTTCCTGCGTACAGAGGCAGAGGGGGAGCGACCTGGCTTTATGAAGTTGTAACGAACTGAATACCGAGGCTTGGCTCTGATCTCGTCTGCAGCAGTGGACGACTAATCCGTGTCCACACTCCACCGAGGATCTGAACAGTCCTGGGCAGGAGGAGGAATCTTCAGACTCGACCCCATCCAGAGGGACGGGGGTTCGAGGCCTGGCTGGTCCCGTCCTGCACTCCCCGGACGCTCCGGCCGTAGGATTTGCAGCTGATTTTAATTGCTTGTCGCCTCTGCTGGCTCACGATGGCTCCGGGAACCCAGCACAGAGACGTAGCACAATGCCAGGCCTGATTTTAATTTCTCGTCGCCTGTGCTGGCTCAGATGGCTCCGGGAACCCAGCACAGAGACAGGCCGGCTCGCAGAAGAGATGCTTCCCGGGAGCGTCTGGGAGGGAGCCTGGCTCTGGCAAGCCGGGGAGGGCTTTGGGGACCGGATTTGCGCTGGGGATGGCCATTCTGCCTGGGATTAACAGGATTAAAAAGCATTAAATGAGCGTCCTCCAACTCCCCACAGCAGACTTGCTTTCCGAAAGGATCCTCCTAGAGGCTCTGAGCACCCGGGGTGACCACAGAAAATAAAGGTTCCCCTTTAGCATGACAAAGGAGGGCTGCACGCATCCAGGGGTACAAATGCTCTGCCATATCCTCAATCCCATTGTTCCCCGCTCCGACACGGGGCCCCCTTCCTCCCCTTTCCCTTTCCCTTTTTTGTTTTTTTTTTTTTTAATTTCTCCGTGCAGAGCTCAAGGTGTCATATTAATTATTTAAATCTCGGGAAGATTTCAGCAGTGATCCACCAAAGGCCCTCTTCGGAGCCAGAAGGCCTTGGCTCTGTGTTAGTTTTTCTTAATTAGAGCTGAAATGAGAACTTTGATCTCCGGGCACAGAATGGCCAAAGAGGAGGCGGGGAAACTTCCCATGCGATTTTTTTTTTTTTTTTTTTTTTTAGTTTTTTTCTTTTCTGCCATACCTATCGTCTGTCTGGGCTGTTACTGTATGACACTTTGATCCACCTCGTTCTGGGGAAACAATTCAAGTACAAGAGGAACTTAAACAACTCAAAGGGCCGGCCGGGATGAGAGCCCAGTGGTTCGTCTGTCGGTCACCGCCTGCCAACACAGTTTTGTTATTTATTTTGGCCGTCTACACAGCAGGCTCAGATGCAGCCACATCCTGGGACCTAATGGCTGTCTACACAGCAGGGTCCAATGCAGCTCCGTCCCAGGATCTAATGGCCATCTATGCAGCAGACTCAGATGCAGCTGCATCCCGGGACCTAATGGCTGTCTACACAGCAGGGTCCAATGCAGCTCCATCCCAGGACCTAATGGCCGTCCATGCAGCAGGCTCAGATGTAGCTGCATCCCGGGACCTAATAGCTGTCTACACAGCAGGGTCCAATGCAGCTCCGTCCCAGGACTTAATGGCCGTCTATGCAGCAGGCTCAGATGTAGCTGCATCCCGGGACCTAATAGCCATCTACATAGCAGGCTCGAATCCAGCTCCATCCTGGGACTGGGACCTAATGGCCGTCTACACAGCAGGCTCGACTCCAGCTCCATCCTGGGACTGGGACCTAATGGCCGTCTACACAGCAGGCTCGAATCCAGCTCCATCCTGGGACTGGGACCTAATGGCCATCTATGCAGCAGACTCGGATGCAGCTACATCCTGGGACCTAATGGCTGTCTACACAGCAGGGTCCAATGCAGCTCTGTCCCAGGACCTAATGGCCGTCTATGCAGCAGGCTCAGATGTAGCTGCATCCCGAGACCTAATAGCCATCTACATAGCAGGCTCGAATCCAGCTCCATCCTGGGACCTAATGGCCATCTATGCAGCAGACTCGGATCCACCTGCGTCCTGGGACCTAATAGCCATCTACATAGCAGGCTCCACTCCAGCTCCATCCTGGGACTGGGACCTAATGGCCGTCTACACAGCAGGCTCGAATCCAGCTCCATCCTGGGACCTAATGGCCATCTATGCAGCAGACTCGGATCCACCTGCGTCCTGGGACCTAATAGCCATCTACATAGCAGGCTCAACTCCAGCTCCATCCTGGGACTGGGACCTAATGGCCGTCTACACAGCAGACTCGGATGCAGCTACATCCCAGGACCTAATGGCTCTCTACACAGCAGGGTCCAATGCAGCTCCGTCCCAGGACCTAATGGCCATCTATGCAGCAGGCTCAGATGTAGCTGCATCCTGGGACCTAATGGCTGTCTACACAGCAGGGTCCAATGCAGCTCCATCCCAGGACCTAATGGCCATCTATGCAGCAGGCTCAGATGTAGCTGCATCCCGGGACCTAATGGCTGTCTACACAGCAGGCTCGAATCCAGCTCCATCCTGGGACCTAATGGCCTTCTATGCAGCAGACTCAGATCCACCTGCATCCTGGGACCTAATAGCCATCTACATAGCAGGCTTGAATCCGGCTCCATCCTGGGACTGGGACCTAATGGCCGTCTACACAGCAGGCTCGAATCCAGCTCCATCCTGGGACCTAATGGCCGTCTATGCAGCAGACTCGGATCCACCTGCGTCCTGGGATGCAGACATGGGGGACAGAGAAGGGATCCTCATCCCAGGCCTCCAACGTGGGGACATGGGGACTAGTCTTGCCTCATTAACGCCTCTGTGTCTGCAGGAGCAGCGGCCGCAGCAAAGGCCCTGATTAAACAGCAGGCCTGAGTTTTCTCTGCAAAAAAAAAAAAAAACGTTTTCCTCTCTCATCGTGGTTTTGCAGACCGGAGCTTCCCCAGAAAGAGGTCACCTCCGAGGGCTCGCCTCGTTAGAATGCCTGGCTCATTTGCATTTGTCTTATGGAAAAAGCACAGGGTGACATCAAGCAATCGGGGGAAAAAATATATATATATATATCAAAAAGTGAGCCACAGTTCACGGAAGATGAAATCTGTGAATTTCACCCAACGCCTCGGAGAGACTACGGTACGGCTTCCTAACGACAAAATCAAAAAGACATCCCCAGCCTCCACCAGCAGGCCCGGCCCCGGGGCCCCGAGCCCACCCTGTGTCCGCCGAGCCCACTTCGCTGAGCTTTGCCTACGAGCCTTCGTTAGCGACCAACGCAGATCAATCCGGCCCCCGGTTCCCTTTGGAATGATTCAGCTGCGTGTCACCCCGTGGGTCAGCGGCGGTTTCCCCCCACTTGCAGAGAACGGGAAGAGGAGCATTTGCTGAGATATCCCTCCAAGATTGAAAGAGCCGGTCTCACAATATCAAGCCGAAGACTCATCCGGAGGTTCTGAGGTTTAGGGCTCTAAATTATAGCAACACGACTGCAATCTTTGAGGGTTTTTTTTTTCTTTCTCTTTTTTTAAATAAGCATGCATATTTTAGAGTGCATTTTCTGCCTCAGAAATAATTGGGATTTACAGCTGTTAAGATAATGACATGCTGTCTCTGTCAGACTCTCGGAGACAGAAGGAGGATTTCTCCCTGGCCTATGGATCCCAGAAGACTGGGGTGTGGACAGACTTTTCCCTGTACCCCCATAATCCAGCACCTCTGGGGCCCAGGGGCAAATGCATATGCTTTGTGATAACGTGTGCGCCTTCCCTTAAGACTCCAAGGCGACAGGACGGCCAGGAAGAGGCTCACAGTTGCTATAATTCCAGCAAAGACACTCCCATGTCTCAGGGCAGGGAATGGGAGAAAACACCTGTTATTTGTCCTGGGAAACAGTCCAAGCCAAGACTTACCTGGTCAGGTGAGCAACGTGGCTTTGACAGCCCCAGACAGCAGCTCAGGAATGTAACGCGCTCAAAAAAAATTTAAAAAAACTGAATTTCTCTAAAACGGTTGTCTGCTGGCAGAGACGGTTAAAAAAAGTCACTTTGGGCTGCGCATGGTGGCTCATGCCTGTCATCCCAGCACTTTGGGAGGCCGAGGCGGGTGGATCCCCTGAGGCCAGGAGCTCCAGACCATCCTGGCCAACATGGTGAAACCCCGTCTCTACTAAAAATACAAAAATGAGCCAGGCGTGGTGGCGGGCGCCTGTAATTCCAGCTACTCGGGAGGCTGAGGCAGGAGAATCGCCTGAACCCGGGAGGCGGAGGTTGCAGTGAACCGAGATCTCACCACTGCACTCCAGCCTGGGCAACAAGAGCGAAACTCCATCAAAAAAAACAAAAAAACAAAAAAACACCGAATTTCTCTAAAACGGTTGTCTGCTGGCAGAGACAGTTAAAAAAAAAATCACTTTGGGCTGGGCACGGTGGCTCACGCCTGTAATCCCAGCACTTTGGGAGGCTGAGGCGGGTGGATCCCCTGAGGTCAGGAGTTCGAGACCAGCCTGGCCAACATGGTGAAACCCCATCTCTACTAAAAATACAAAAATGAGTTGGGCGTGGTGGCGGGCGCCTGTAATCCCAGCTACTGGGGAGGCTGAGGCAAGAGAATCACTCGAACCTGCAGTTCCAGCTATATATTTTTTATATATAAAATCTCTAACCTGGGAGGTGGAGGTTGCAGTGAACCAAGACCACGCCATTGCACTCCAGCCTGGGTGACAGAGGGAGTCTCCATCTGAAAAAAATATATATATATATAAATATATATTTGTAGGTTTATATATAATATAAAAATATATATAAATATGTTTATATATTAATATAAATATAGGTTTATATATTATATATAAATATAGGTTTATATATATTATAAATATAGGTTTATATATAAAAATATAATATGAAAATATATATTGCATATATTACATGTATATAAATATTGCATATATTACATATATTAGATATTACATGTATATTATATTGCATATTATATATGTGTTATATATGTGATATGTAAGTTATGTATGTGTACATTATATATTTTATATTTTATATATGTAATATATTACATATTATGTGTAGTATAATGTATATTATATATGCAATATAATGTATATGGTATATTATGTATGTAATATAACATATATATCTGTAGTATATATAATATGTGTCATATATAATATGTATGTAATATATAAAATATATACATATTAGCCAGGTGTGGTGGCGTGCCCCTGCAGTTCCAGCTACTTGGGAGGCCAAGGTGAGATGATCTCTTAAGCCCAGGAGTTTGAGACCAGCCTGTGCCACGTAGCAAGATCCCATCTGCATTTTAAGAAAAAAAAACAGTTGGGGAGTGAACACCTTTATAGAGAGAGAAAATAAATATCTCTGGGTTCACTTAGGTGAGATGGAGGAATTGCTTGATTAACTATCCTTCCAATCGTTTACATACCAGCCAAGCTCAAAAGGGAGGTGTGGTTTGGAGCACGCCTCCAAGGCTGGGCACCCAGCTCCCAGCTCCCAGCTCTCCGGCATCGTTCGTGTCAGTTACGGAGCGGTAACCGGGACGGTGTGACAGGTGCCCATTCACAATGGGGAAGTGTTTCCTACGCAGGCAGCACACGCAGACCCCAGAGTGGTTTGTTTGTTTGAGATGGAGTCTCGCCCTGTCACCCAGGCTGGAGTGCAGTGGTGAGATCTCGGCTCACTGCATTGTCCACCTCCCAGGTTCAAGCGATTCTCCTGCCTCGGCCTCCCGAGTAGCTGGGATTACAGGCACCCACCACCACACCCAGCTAATTTTTGTATTTTTAGTAGAGACGGGGTTTCACCGTATTAGCCAGGATGGTCTCGATCTCCTGACCTCATGATCCGCCCGCCTCCGCCTCCCAAAGCTCTGGGATGACAGGCGTGAGTGGTATTTACTATCTAGGTGGGAATCATGAGTCGGCTCCTTGCGAGGGGATGTCCCACGACGGGGAATGTCACCTTTTTTCCTTGCAGGCTTTGAAAATCGAGACATCCTTGCGACCTCCTGTTTTGGGGAGAAACAATCCTGTTTCTTCATGACACTCATTACGTCCATTTCATCAGGTGCAATTTCCACGGCTATCAAGTCCTGGCCGCTTGATGGCCATGGACAGGAGGAGAGAAGGGTGCTGGCCAGACGGAGAGAAGGGTGCTGGCCAGACAAAGCCAAGGGTGCTGGCCAGACAAAGCTAAGGGGTTACGAGAGCCAGCCCACCTTCGTCCCCAAAGGAGACAGAGTGGCTCCGAGGCCATCGATGTCCGGCCGGCCGGGGCCTGCTCTCTTCTGGAAAATGAGTTTTTTGCCGTTGGTGAGTGCCAGGGTCCCTCTCAGAGCCCGTCTCTGCAAGGGGATCTTTTAATTACCTCTTTCCCCCAGTGACTTCTTTCGCCCCTGGAGGGGTGGCAAAGCTTTCATACTGTATCCTATTTTAATCTGTCATGACTGAGGAAGCCAGATGGCTCTTGATGACAAGCTCTCCCTCAAAACAGCCCGAACTTTCTATCAGAGGATTTGTAAGATGACGGTTTAAAAAGAGAGAGGCTGGGGGGTGCGTTTGCCTCCCACAAAATAACCTGAATTTTAATTGGACATCATAGTTTGGCAGTGATTTCCACGTGATTACCATTTCTGGTTAAGGAGCAGGTGGATTAGACGCGTAACCAAAATGGTATTAAAAGTTCCCAGAAAGGAGATTTACTTTTAAAATACGGAATCACGAAGAAAAGTTGTCAGGACCCTCATGTGTGGGACTCAGGGCTTCTAACAACTTCCCCTTGCCCAGCGCGTCCCTTTTTTCTTTTTCTTTCTTTTTTTTTTTCTTTGAGACGGAGTCTCGCTTTGTCGCCCAGGCTTGAGTGCAGTGGTGTGATCTCAGCTCACTGCAACCTCCACCTCCTGGGTTCAAGCGTTTCTCCTGTTTCAGCCTCCTGAGTAGCTGGGATGACAGGTGCACGCCAACGCACCTGGCTAACTTTTGTATTTTTTGTAGAGGCAGGTTTTGCCGTGTTGGCCAGACTGGTCTCCAACTCCTGGCCTCAGGTGATCTGTGTGCGACTGTTAATGTGTGTGAGTCTGTGTGTGCTCATGCGCACTGATCCGTGTGTGTCTGTGTATGTGTGTGAGTCTGTATCTATACTCACATGCACTGATCTGTGTGTGACTGTTGCCATGAAAATAGATGTGTGTGGGTGCACGTTTCTACCTGTGGGTGTGTGCACATGTGTGTGACTGTGTATGTGTGTGTCTGTGTACTCATGCGCACTGATCCCTGTGCGACTGTGTATGTGTGTGTCTGCAGACTCACACACATAAACAGTAACACAGATCAGTGCGCACAACACACAGACACACACATACACAGTCACACATGGATCAGGGCGCATGAGCACATGCAGACACACATACACAGTGAATGCACAAAACTAGGAGTGTGTGCTTTGCATTGTGCGTGTATGTGCATGTGCATTTGCATGTGAGGGCTCATGGCTGTGTGTGCTTGCCTTCTGTACACGTATATGCATATGGGCTTGTGTGCATGTGTGAGGCTTGCAAGAATGCGTGCATGCACCTGCACGTGAGGGCTCATGACTGTGAATGTGTGCTTGCCTTCTGTACACATATATGCATATGGGCTTGTGTGCATGTGTGGGGTTTGCAAGAATGCGTGCATGCACCTGCACGTGAGGGCTCATGACTGAATGTGTGCTTGCCTTCTGTACACCTCTGTGCAGAGATACTTGTGTGCATCTGTGCATGTGGGAGCTTGAATGAATGCATGCATGCAGTTGTATGTGAGCGCTCATGACTATCAGTGTGTGCTTGACTTCTGTACAAATATATGCATATGGGCTTGTGTGCATGTGTGGGGTTTGCAAGAATGCATGCATGCACCTGCACGTGAGGGCTCATGGCTGTGTGTGCTTGCCTTCTGTACATGTATATGCATATGTGCTTGTGTGCATGTGTGGGGCTTGCAAGAATGCGTGCATGCGCCTGCATGTGAGGGCTCATGACTGTGAATGTGTGCTTGCCTTCTGTACACGTATATGCATATGTGCTTGTGTGCATGTGTGAGGCTTGCAAGAATGCGTGCATGCACCTGCACATGAGGGCTCATGACTGTGAATGTGTGCTTGCCTTCTGTACACATATATGCATATGGGCTTGGGTGCATGTGTGAGGTTTGCAAGAATGCATGCATGCACCTGCACGTGAGGGCTCATGGCTGTGGGTGTGTGCTTGCCTTCTGTACACGTATATGCATATGAGCTTGTGTGCATGTGTGGGGTTTGCAAGAATGCGTGCATGCACCTGCACGTGAGGGCTCATGACTGTGAATGTGTGCTTGCCTTCTGTACACCTCTGTGCAGAGATACCTGTGTGCATCTGTGCATGTGGGGGCTTGAATGAATGCATGCATGCAGTTGTATGTGAGCGCTCATGACTATCAGTGTGTGCTTGCCTTCTGTACACATATATGCATATGGGCTTGTGTGCATGTGTGGGGCTTGCAAGAATGCGTGCATGCACCTGCACGTGAGGGCTCATGACTGTGAATGTGTGCTTGCCTTCTGTACACATATATGCATATGGGCTTGTGTGCATGTGGAGGCTTGAATGAATGCATGCATGCACCTGCACGTGAGGGCTCATGGCTGTGGGTGTGTGCTTGCCTTCTGTACACATATATGCATATGGGCTTGTGTGCATGTGTGGGGTTTGCAAGAATGCGTGCATGCACCTGCACGTGAGGGCTCATGACTGAATGTGTGCTTGCCTTCTGTACACCTCTGTGCAGAGATACCTGTGTGCATCTGTGCATGTGGGAGCTTGAATGAATGCATGCATGCAGTTGTATGTGAGCGCTCATGACTATCAGTGTGTGCTTGACTTCTGTACACATATATGCATATGGGCTTGTGTGCATGTGTGGGGTTTGCAAGAATGCATGCATGCACCTGCACGTGAGGGCTCATGGCTGTGTGTGCTTGCCTTCTGTACATGTATATGCATATGCACTTGTGTGCATGTGTGGGGCTTGCAAGAATGCGTGCATGCACCTGCACGTGAGGGCTCATGACTGTGAATGTGTGCTTGCCTTCTGTACACATATATGCATATGGGCTTGTGTGCATGTGTGGGGTTTGCAAGAATGCGTGCATGCACCTGCACGTGAGGGCTCATGACGGTGGGTGTGTGCTTGCCTTCCGGACATGTGCGCATGTGTGTGGGGGCACGCACTTAATACCGTCCCCTGTTCATCTCTCAGATTGCCCTTTTCTTCTACGTTCTACCCCCAACAGGCCAGGCCTGTTCTCCCACCTCCCTCGCTGAAACCCCATCTCCTCCGTCCTTCTCTCTGGTCCTGTGTGTTTGTGAGCTTGGAGGACAGTGCCTTCATCCAAAATTATATCAACCAGCAAGATTACACCCTCTTTCTTCTGAAGCTCCCAAAGGCATCTCTATAAATCCCTTGTTCTTCCTTCCTTCGGAGGTGGAGATTTGTACAAGGCAGGACTAATCCCAGGGCCAGAAAGCCACCTCTCTTCACCTTCAGGTGGGCCAGAGCTGAGCCACAGTCCACTGCCCACTCATAAGACACCTCGGGCCGGGCGCAGTGACTCACGCTTGTAATCCCAGCACTTTGGGAGGCCAAGGCAGGTGCATCACCTGAGGTCAAGAGTTCAAGACCAGCCTGGCCAATATGGAGAAACCCTGTCTTTACTAAAAAAAAAAAAAAAAAAAAAAAAAAGTCGGGCACGGTGGCTCACGCCTGTAGTCCCAGCACTCTGAGAGGCCGAGGCGGGCGGATCACGAGGTCAGGAGATCGAGACCATCCTGGCTAACACGGTGAAACCCCGTCTCTTCTAAAAATACAAAAAATTAGCCGGGTGCAGTGGCGGGTACCTGTAGTCCCAGCGACTCGGGAGGCTGAGGCAGGAGAATGGTGTGAACCCGGGAGGCAGAGGTTGCAGTTAGCCGAGATCGCGCCACTGCACTCCAGCCTGGGCGACAGAGCGAGACTCCATCTCAAAAAAAAAAGAAAGAAAGAAAGAAAAATACAAAATACAAAATTAGTTGGGCATGGTGGCACATGCTTGTAATCCCAGCTACTTGGGAGGCTGAGGCAAGAGAATCGCTTGAACCCGGGAGGCAGAGGTTGCTGTGAGCCGAGATCACGCCAGTGAACTCCAGCTTGGACAACAAGAGTGAAACTCCATCTCAAAAAAAAAAAAAAAAAGAGAGAGAGAGAGAGAGAGACCTCAGCCACCACTGCTCACATAATCCTTCTCCCCTCGTTAGATGTTATCTGCAGGCTGCACTGTCAGAAAAGTATCATCCCAGAGACAAACCATTCATCTGTCAAATACACACAGTTTGCACGGAAGGCGTGGAGACACCCACGTTATGGGTGCATTCGCCCAGGTTTAAGGTCTAGTTAGCACTGGGCTTGGCAAAGAGCATGACTTTTCCTCCTTCTGCGTCCGGTCTTCTGAGCCATGTGCTAATATCCTGGGACTCTGTCTGGTTTTGTTTTTTTTTTTTAACATTGCCTAAATCATATTTTCCATTTAAAGAAATTTCTAAAGAACAGTTGGCAAGTATTCAGGTCACCTTCTCCCCAGGGCTCACTTAGCACCTGCATGTAGATGGAGTGTTCCGCGCCGGCCGTCAACACCAATCGCGGCTGCATCACTCACGCAGTCAGCGTCCTGCTGCTGGCCGGCTCCAGCTGGACATCCTGTCTGCCGCTCTGAAAAGCAATCACATCATACTGGAACACCAGAGTGTCCAAAGCACACCTCAGCCTCTGCAGTGCCCATCTCACAGTCTCTAAAGCACACCTCAGAGTCTGCAATGCACACCTCAGAGTCTCCCGTACCCATCTCAGTCTCCAGTGCCCACGTCAGAGTGTCCAATGCACACCTCAGTGTCTGCAGTGCACACCTCAGGGTCTCCAATGCACATATCGGAATCTCCAAAGCACATCTCAGAGTCTCCAATGCCCATCTCAGTCTCCAATGCCCACGTCAGAGTCTCCAATGCACACCTCAGGGTCTCCAATGCCCATCTCAGAGTCTCCAAAGCACACGTCAGAGTCTCCAGTGCCCATCTCAGAGTCTCCAATGCACATCTCAGAGTCTCCAGTGCCCATCTCAGAGTCTCCAAAGCACAGCTCAGAATCTCCAATGCCCATCTCAGAGTCTCCAATGCACATCTGAGAGTCTCCAATGGACACCTCAGAGTCTCCAAAGCACATCTCAGAGTCTCCAAAGCACACCTCAGAGTCTCCAATGCACATCTTAGTCTCCAGTGCCCATCTCAGAGTCTCCAATGCACATCTCAGAATCTCCAGTGCCCATCTCAGAGTCTCCAAAGCACAGCTCAGAATCTCCAATGCCCATCTCAGAGTCTCCAATGCACATCTGAGAGTCTCCAATGGACACCTCAGAGTCTCCAAAGCACATCTCAGAGTCTCCAAAGCACATCTCAGAGTCTCCAAAGCACACCTCAGAGTCTCCAATGCACATCTTAGTCTCCAGTGCCCATCTCAGAGTCTCCAATGCACATCTCAGAATCTCCAAAGCACAGCTCAGAGTCTCCAATGCACATCTCAGAATCTCCAAAGCACAGCTCAGAGCCTCCAGTGTCCATCTCAGAGTCTCCAATGCACACCTCAGAGTCTCCAATGCGCATCTCAGAATCTCCAAAGCACAGCTCAGAGCCTCCAGTGTCCATCTCAGAGTCTCCAATGCCCATTCAGAATCTCCAGTGCACATCTCAGAGTCTGCAATGCTCATCTCAGAGTCTCCAGTGCATGTGGGTGTACCAGCACCTGCCTCTAAGAATGCTTCAGCTCATGTTGAACGAACATGTCTTCAGCACCCCTGTACTGGGTGTTTTACAGGCATTGTTTCTGCACATCAAAAAAATTCCAGACTCAAATGCTTGCAGGAGGAGGCAGGTCAGGTCAGTAAGGCAGGCCTGATGTGAGAGAGACATCGGGGAGCAGTGGAGACTGCGGCGAACATCCCATCCAGCCCACTGGTGTTGGGCAAGAATGAAGGCACGGGTTGGCCGCCCCTTCCAAAAATATTTCAAGGAACCCAGGAATTGGGTGTTCATGATCAGTGGGCCAGTGTTTAAAATATTAGCATTAATTTAAGGATACTGTCTCTTCCAAGAAAAATACGATGGCCAGCTACTTTACAATGTCGTCTCTGTTTTCTTGCGTTCATTCTGCAAGTCACAAATTACCAGATAAAAATGTGAGTTTAGGCAAGTTTTATAAATTGTCTGAGGACTGAGCAGGAAAGGGTAGGACCTGGAATTTCAACTCAGAGGCCAGTTTCAAAGACAATCTAAGCTCCCCACGGCATGAGGCCCCCCAAAAGTGTCATTCATTTCAGAATTGGATTCCTCTTCAAAGAGGCGAGGCTTAAGGAACCAAGCTTAGATTTCATGGGTAACTTAATCCAGTATGAGGCATCATTGCTTTTCCTTTCTTACAGCCTTTTTGTCTCTCTTTTCTCTTTCTTTTCTTTCATTTCTTTTTCCTTCCTTCCTTCCTTTCTTCCTTTCTGTCTTTGTCTTTCTTTTCTTTCTTCCTTCCTTCCTTTCTTCCTTTCCCTTCGTTTCTTTTTCTTGTCTTTCTTTTTTCCTTCTTTCCTTCCTTTCTTCCTGTCTCTTTCTTTCTTTTTTCCTTCCTTCCTTTCTTCCTCTTTCTTTCTTTTCTTTCTCTTACTTTCTTTTTTCTTCTTTCATTCCTTTCTTCCCCTCTGTCTCTTTCTTTTTCCTTCCTTCCTTTTCTTCTTTCTTTCTTTCTTTCTTCTTTTTCCTTCCTTCCTTCCTTCCTTCCTTCCTTCCTTCCTTCCTTCCTTCCATCCTGTCTCTTTCTTCTCTTTCTCTTTGTGTTTCTTACAGGGTCTCTGTCTGCTGCCCAGGCTGGAGGGCGGTGGTGCAATCTTGGCTCATTGCAGCCTCCAACTCCTGGGCTCAAGCAATCCTCCCACTTCAGCCTCCCTGAGTAGCTGAGACCACAGACAAGCTGAGACCACAGCTCACTGCAACCTCTGCCTCCCTGAGTAGCTGAGACCACAGACAAGGGACACCACACCTGGCTACTTTTTTTATTTTTATTTTTTGTAAAGATAGGGTCTCCCTAAGTTGCCCAGGCTGGTCTTGAATGCCTGGCCTCTGGCAATCCTCCTGCCTTGGCCTCCCAAAGTGCTGGGATTACAGGCATGAGCCACCATGCCTGGCCAATTACTGTGTTTTAAAAGTACATGGCCAGACACAGTGGCTCATGCCTGTAATCCCAGCACACAGTGGCTCATGCCTGTAATCCCAGCGCTTTGGGAAGCTGAGACAGGTGGATCACGAGGTCAGGAGATTGAGACCATCCTGGCTAATGCGGTGAAACCCCGTCTCTACTAAATAATACAAAAAATTATCTGGACGTGGTGGTGGGCGCCTGTAGTCCCAGCTACTCAGGAGACTGAGGCAGGAGAATGGCGTGAACCAGGGAGGCAGAGGTTGCAGTGAGCCGAGATTGTACCACTGCACTTCAGCCTGGACAACAGAGCCAGACTCCATCTCAAAATAAATAAATAAAAATTAAGTCATGAAATGTAGCTTCAAATGTACATGAAGGGCCGGGCGCGGTGGCTCATGCCTGTAATCCCAGCACTTTGGGAGGCCGAGGCAGGCAAATCACCTGAGGTCAGCAGTTCGAGACCAGCCTGACCAACATGGTGAAACCCCATCTTTACTAAAAATACAAAAATTAGCTGGGCATGATGGTGCATGCCTGTAATTCCAGCTACTTGGGAGGCTGAGGCAAGGCTTGAACCCGGGAGGCAGAGGTTGCAGTGAGCCAAGATCACGCCACTGCACTCCAGCCTGGGTGACAGAGCAAGACCCTGTCCCAAAAAAAACAAAAAAAATGTAGGTGAATATTACATCTCTACATTCAGAAGTACTTTCCAAGAATAAAAACAATGGAAGAAATTATATGAACAAGACTGATCAATTTGACTACATTCAATTTTAAAACTCTTTAGGTTTAAAAAACAATTTCAAGTAGCATAAAAGAAGTTGAAAAATATTGATAAAATATGCCAATGATAAAAGAGCCTGTGTCCTTAATATATAAAGAGCTCTTACAAATCAACAAGAATGATTGCTATTTATTGAATGCTTTCTGTGCATTAAAATTCTGTGCTACTCAATGTACATATATTATCTGGTTTAAATGTCATAAAAACTCTAGGCAATTTGCTACAGACGGAGAAAGTGAAAATTAAAGGCATAAATTAACTTCTCCGGAGAAACGGAGCTAGTAAATTGTCGTGTTGTGTTTGGATTCAAACCCAGTTCTGTGTGACTCTGAAGTTCAGGGCCCTAAGAACTGGTAAACACTGGAAAAATAAGCAAACATCTCAAGTAATTTACAAAAGAGAAACACACATGGCTTGTAAACATGAAAAAGAATTGTCCCCCACTAAAAAGTCGTCTTTAAATGCCAAGTCAAAACAATGGATGCCGTTTTGAAACTATGAAATTTGCAGAATTCCTCATTTTCTTTTTAAAATGAACCTCAATGTTCATCACAGCGTAAGTCCCGGGCGACCTCTTGCTCTGCCGGCAGGAACGTAAATTAGAACAGCTTTTCCCGCAAGCCGTTTGAGACTATGAATAGTGCCTTTTAGCAGTTGGTATATGAAATCCAATAATTTTACCTGAAGGAGTCAATCTTAACAATCCACGTTTTATGAGCTAGAAGGTTTAGGGAATCATCTACATTCTCTTAAATAACAGCCTGGTCAAATAGCTGCCGGCGGACCTAGAAGGATCCGTGTCACGTAGGAATCCAAAATCTTGTTTTTGAGAAAGACGTAATAACATTAAGACATGCTCCTGATACAAGGTTCCTAAAATGTGGTCATCTGCAGGTTCGGGGACCCACGGGGGAGAGGGACGCGGTGTCACCGTATTCTAGGTCTTCCCGGGCCATCCTTTATCAGAAACGGGATGAGTTTCCACCAAGAAATTGGGCCCCACCGAGGCCTTCATTGATCTTCACCTAGAAGCTACGTCAAAGCCAGTGTCACTCAGGCCCAGGCGGAAAAACGTCCCACGCAGAATTTCAGGGAATGAGGAACCAGGATGTCTGCAGACCAGGAGTCCAAGGAATACTGCCTGTTGAGGTGAGCATTACAGGCCTGCTGTATACACACCAGGCAGGAAGGCCACAGGCCGACTGTATACATCCCACTCCTGGGAGGGAGACCACAGGCCAACTGTATACATATCACTCTAGGGAGGGAGACCACAGGCCGACTGTATACATATCACTCTAGGGAGGGAGACCACAGGCCGGCTGTATACATCCCACTCCTGGGAGGGAGACCACAGGCCAACTGTATACATATCACTCCTGGGAGGGAGACCGCAGGCTGCTGTATACATCCTTCTCTAGAAAGAGAGACCACAGGCCGACTGTATACATCCCACTCCTGGGAGGGAGACCACAGGCCGACTGTATACATCCCACTCCTGGGAGGGAGACTGCAGGCTGCTGTATACATCCTTCTCTAGAAAGAGAGACCACAGGCCGGCTGTATACATTCCACTCCTGGGAGGGAGACCACAGGCCGGCTGTATACATCCCACTCCTGGGAGGGAGACCACAGGCTGACTGTATACATCCCACTCCTGGGAGGGAGACTGCAGGCTGCTGTATACATCCTTCTCTAGAAAGAGAGACCACAGGCCGGCTGTATACATTCCACTCCTGGGAGGGAGACCACAGGCTGCTGTATACATCCCACTCCTGGGAGGGAGACCACAGGCCGGCTGTATACATCCTTCTCTAGAAAGAGAGACCACAGGCCGGCTGTATACATTCCACTCCTGGGAGGGAGACCGCAGGCCGACTGTATACATCCCACTCCTGGGAGGGAGACCACAGGCCGGCTGTATACATCCTTCTCTAGAAAGAGAGACCACAGGCCGGCTGTATACATCCCACTCCTGGGAGGGAGACCACAGGCCAACTGTATACATATCACTCTAGGGAGGGAGACCACAGGCCGGCTGTATACATATCACTCCTAGGAGGGAGAGCACAGGCCGGCTGTATACATTCCACTCCTGGGAGGGAGACTGCAGGCTGCTGTATACATCCTTCTCTAGAAAGAGAGACCACAGGCCGGCTGTATACATCCCACCCCTGGGAGGGAGACCGCAGGCCGACTGTATACATTCCACTCCTGGGAGGGAGACCACAGGCCGGCTGTATACATCCTTCTCTAGAAAGAGAGACCACAGGCCGGCTGTATACATTCCACTCTAGGGAGGAAGAGACCACAGACCAACTGTATACATCCCACTCTAGAGAGGGAGGCCACAGGCCAGCTGTATACATCCCACACTAGAGAGACAGACCATAGGCCGGCTGTATACATCCCACACTAGGAAGAAAGAAACCACGGGCTGACTATATACATCCCCCTCTAGGGAGAAACACCACAGGCCAACTGTATACATCCCACACTAGAGAGACAGACCACAGGCCGGCTGTATACATCCCACTCTAGGAAGAAAGAAACCGCAGGCCGGCTGTATACATCCCACTCTACAGAGGGAGACAACAGACCAGCTGTATACATCCCACACTAGAAAGACAGACTGCAGGCCAACCGTATACATCTCACTCTAGGGAGGGAGAGACCACAGGCCAGCTGTATACATCCCATTCTAGGAAGGCATATATACACACAATCGCATTGAAACATTTAGAACTAACTCAGATTCAGTGTGCCACCAGTGGATATTGGGAAAGTGGGAAAGTGGCTTTATAATTTAAGAAGCAATGTGTCAGAGATGGTTAAATTAAGTTTCTGTCTGTAACAAAATCCATACATCTATGTACGTATGTGTGATAAATATAGATGTATGCATATATATGGTCAGGTATGTGTGTATATAAACGTGTGTGTAGAGGCCGGATGCGGTGGCTCACGCCTGTCATCCCAGCACTTTGGGAGGCCGAAGTGGGTGGATCACGAGGTCAGGAGTTTCAGACCAGCCTGGCCAACGGGGTGAAATCCCGTCTCTACTAAAAATACAAACATTAGCCGGGCGTGGTGGCGGGCGCCTGTAGTCCCAGCTACCTGGGAGGCTGAGGCAGGAGAATCGCTTGAACCCGGGAGGCGGAGGTTGCAGTGAGCCGAGATCGCGCCACTGCACTCCGGCCTGGTGACAGAGCGAGACTCCATCTCAAAAAAAATGAAATAAAATAAAATGACAGTAAAACAAAATAACATGACACACCGAATATCAGGTTAAAACTAGAAAGTTGGGGCAACGATTCAGGTGCTTGGCCTCTGTCTCCAAATCTGGTTGCAGCTATAGACAACGTCTAAATTTTTTTGCCTGTGTTTTCAGCCAGACAAACGTTTGCCTTCCTGTTCCCTCCAGGGGGAGAGCGCTCGATTGACTTTATTTTCATCTCGATGAATGATTGCATGTATTCTGCACCTCCCTTCCCGCCCAGACCTACCTTATCATAGACGGTGTGCGTGACTGAACACGATCATTTCAGCTCCTAGCCTTGAAATAAAACGCCGCTTGCCGACGGACGTCTGCAATGATGATGTAATTTCAGCCTTGTTGTTCCAGGAAAGCTTTGTCCCTGAATCACCTAAAACAAACAAACAAAAAAAGGTGGGTTGTCGGGGAAGGAGACCCGTGGTGTCTACATTCATATCTATCTCACTCTATCTACCAGGCGGATTTGCATTTGGGGACATTTGCCCCCACCCCGAGTCCCCGGTTCACAAAGGCAACGGTACGTGTAATCTTCTGAGTTGACAATGATGTATGGCTCCGGAGAAACGCACTATTCAGAAATTATCATGGAACAGACACTCCCCCACCCTCTACATTACTTCTTACGTCAACAAATGCACCGCCGTTTCTCCAGAGGCCGCCAAACTTGCGGCCACCTCGTTCTACAAGGAGGCGAGCCAGCCAGACTCATGGTGGCGAGCGAGAAAACGCCGTTCCCGGGGGCTTAGAGGTTCTCCTTTGCACAAAGCCTGGGAGTTTTGTTAGTGACTTCAGAGTCAGGTCCCGTACCAACAACACCGTCCGATCTAGACGGCATCCTCCTGGTGGGAAATTGCCTTATTTCTCCCTCTTAAGCAAGTGATTTGAATTAGGATTTGTTTTTCTTTCTGTCTTTCTTTCTTTCTTTCTTTCTTTCTTTCTCTCTCTCTTTCTCTCTTCTTTTCCTTTCTTTCTCTTTCCTTCTTTCTTTCTTCCTGATCTCTCCCTCTTAAGCAACTGATTTGAATTAGAATTGGTTTTTTCTTTTCTTCTTTCTCTTTCCTTTCTTCCTTCTCTCTCTCTCTTTCTTTCTTTCCTCCTTCTTTCTTTGTGCATTTGCAGTTGGCTACTTGTTACTACTTGTCCAAACAGCTGGGGAACCTGGCCGGGCATGGTGGCTCACACCTGTCACCCCAGCACTTTAGTTGGGAACTTCCTGATCTCTCCCTCTTAAGCAACTGATTTGAATTAGAATCTTCCTTCCTTCTTTCTTTCCTCCCTCCCTTCCCTCCTTCCTTCCTCCCTCCCTCTCCTTCCTTCCTCCCTCCCTTCCCTCCTTCCTTCCTCCCTCTCCTTCCTTCCTCCATCTCCTTCCTTCCTCTCCTTCCTCCCTCCCTCTCCTTCCTCCCTCTCCTTCCTCCGTCTCCTTCCTTCCTTCCTCCCTCCCTCTCCTTCCTTCCTCCCTCTCCTTCCTCCCTGTCTCCTTCCTTCTTTCCTTCCTCCCTCTCCTTCCTTCCTCCCTCTCCTTCCTTCCTCCGTCTCCTTCCTCCCTCCCTCTCCTTCCTCCCTCCCTCTCCTTCCTCCCTCCCTCTCCTTCCTTCCTCCCTCTCCTTCCTCCCTGTCTCCTTCCTCCCTCTCCTTCCTTCCTCCCTCTCCTTCCTTCCTCCCTCTCCTTCCTCCGTCTCCTTCCTTCCTTCCTCCCTCCCTCTCCTTCCTCCCTCCCTCTCCTTCCTCCGTCTCCTTCCTTCCTTCCTCCCTCCCTCTCCTTCCTCCCTCCCTCTCCTTCCTCCGTCTCCTTCCTTCCTTCCTCCCTCCCTCTCCTTCCTTCCTCCCTCTCCTTCCTCCCTCTGTCTCCTTCCTTCTTTCCTTCCTCCCTCTCCTTCCTTCCTCCCTCTCCTTCCTCCGTCTCCTTCCTTCTTTCCTTCCTCCCTCTCCTTCCTTCCTTCTTTCCTTCCTTCCTTCCCTCCCTCCCTCTCCTTCCTTCCTCCCTCCCTCCCTCCTTCTCTCTCTCTCTTTCTCTCTTTCTTTTTTTTTTCTTTCTGCAGTTGCAGTAAGCTTTTCTGGATTTGCAGAAACTATAGGCCGGCCGTATGCATCCGGCATACAGCTTATGTTATGGACAGTATGTTAGCACTTGTCCAACCTGGCCGGGCACGGTGGCTCACAGCTGTCACCACAGCACTTTGGAAGCTGGGAAGAGTGCTTGAGCCTAGGGGTTCCCAACCAGGCCAGGCAACATAGTGAGACTCCCCTTCTAGGCAAAAAATTAAAAAATTAGCTGGGCATGGTGGTGTACACCGGTAGTCCCAGTGACTCAGGAGGCTAAAACGGGAGGATTGCTTGAGCCTGAGAGGTTGAGGCTGCAGTGAGCTATGATCCTGCCACTGCACTCCAGCCTGGGCAATAGAGCAAGACCCTGTCTCTTAATAATAATAATCATTAGTATTATACTTCCCAGGGAGTATATTATTACTACTATATTATAAAATAGATACCATATTATAATGTATAATATAATACATAAATATATATTATTATGTATTAAATATTATATATCATTATATATTAAATACAATACATAAATGTTATATAATATAATGTAAATGTTATATAAAATATAATAAATATATTAATATATTAATATAATTACATATTAATCATATAATGTTTTATATTATATATTAACATAGTAAAATATGTAATTATATTATATATAATATATTAATTATAATATATTAATTAATAATATGCGATTATTATTATATATTGGCCAAACGCAGTGGCTAACACCTGTAATCTCAGCACTTTGGGAGGCTGAGGCAGGCGGATCACCTGAGGTCAGGAGTTTGAGACCAGCCTGACCAACATGGAGAAACTCTGTCTCTACTAAAAATACAAAATTAGCCGGGTGTGATGGCGCATGCCTGTCATCCCAGCTACTCCGGAGGCTGAGGCAGGAGAATCGCTTGAACCCGGGAAGCAGAGGTTGTGGTGAGCTGAGATCGCTCCCCTGCACTCCAACCTGGGCAACAAGAGCGAAACTCCGTCTCAAAAAACATATATATACATAATTATATATTAATATAATTATTATTGTAGTAATATCACATAATATATAATTATTTTATTATTATAGAATTTTTATTACAAATTATATTATAAAATTATTTTATTAATTATATTATTACATAATTATTTTATTAATTATTATGGAATTTTTATTACAAGTTATATTTATTATAAAATTATTTATTATAAAATTTATAAAATTTATTATAAATTATTTTATTAATTATATTATTATATAATTATTTTATTACTATAGAATATTTTGTTATACGTTATATTTATACAATTATTTTATTAATTATTAAAAATAATATTTTATTAATTATTAAAATATTTTATTTATTATAAAGCAATATTTTATTATTATAAAATAGTATTTATTATTATAAAATAATATTTTATTAATTATAAAATATAATTATATTATTATTATACAAAATAGCAGGGGAAGGCAAGGATATTTAAGGGTGTTTTATGTGGTACAATGAGTCTCCAAAACACACAGCCACCTCCAGGATACGAAGCTCCCACCTCCAGCCCCCCGGAGTGCCCAGAGCCGCCCTCTTCCCGGACAATTGTCCCACAGACGCCATGAGAGAGACGGCACCAGCTTCTCCGGATCAAGGCGCCTTAACTTTCTATAACTCTCTAATCATTCGGAAGATTCCCAAACAGCAGTGTCAGAGGTGTTGGAAGTAAAGCAACTCCACTTTCAACAGGGGCTGGGTAAAATGAGGCTGAGACCTTCTGGGCTGCATTCTCAGAAGGTTCAGATTTTTTTTTTTCTTTTTTTTAAGACAGAGTCTCGCTCTCTCACCCAGGCTAGAGTGCAGTGGTGCAATCTCAGCTCCACTGCAAGCTCCGCCTCCCGGGTTCAAGCGATTCTCCTGCCTCAGCCTCCTGAGTAGCTGGGATTACAGGCACGCGCCACCACACGCCCGGCTAATTTTTGTATTTTTATTACAGACGGGGTTTCACCGTGCTGGCCAGGCTGGTCTTGAACTCCTGACCTCGTGATCCACCCACCTTGGCCTCCCAAAGTTCTGGGATTGCAGGTGCGAGCCTCCACGCCCGGCTAATTTTGTATTTTTAGTAGAGACGGGGTTTCGCCATGTTGGTCAGGCTGGTCTCAAACTCCCGACCTCAGGTGATCCGCCCGCCTTGGCCTCCGAAAGTTCTGGGATTACAGGCATGCACCTCCACGCCTGGCTAATTTTGTATTTTTAGTAGAGACGGGGTCTCGCTATGTTGGTCAGGCTGATCTGGAACTCCCAACCTCAGGTGATCCACCTGCCTCGGCCTCCCCAGGTTAAGGCATTCTAACCTACAGGTTGAGATAGGAGGTTGGCACAAGACAGAGGTCATAAAGAGTTGCTGATAAAACAGCTCGCAGTGAAGAAGCCGGCCAAATCCCGCCAAAACCAAGATGGCAACGAAAGTGACCTCAGGTTGTCCTCACCGCACTAATTGTACCTTACACTAACTGTAATTCATTTGCTGCTAAAAGACACTCCCACCAGCACCAGGACCATTTACAGATGTCATAGCCACGCAGGAAGTTACCCTGTATGTCCTAAAAACAGGAGGCATGAGGCCGGGCGCGGTGGCTCACGCCTGTCATCCCAGGCTGGTCTCGAACTCCTGACCTCAGGTCATCCACCCTCTTCAGCCTCCCAAATACCTTGTTTATTAAAAGGCATCTTTGGGCCGGGCACGGTGGCTCACGCTTGTCATCCCAGCACTTTAGGAGGCCGAGGCGGGCGGATCACGAGGTCAGGAGATCGAGACCATCCTGGCTAACACGGTGAAACCCCGTCTCTACTAAAAATACAAAAAATTAGCCGGGCGTGGTGGTGGGTGCCTGCAGTCCCAGCTACTCGGGAGGCTGAGGCAGGAGAATCGCTTGAACCCGAGAGGCGGAGGTTGCAGTGAGCCAAGATCGCACCATTGCACTCCAGCCTGGGTGACAGAGCAAGACTCTGTCTCAAAAAAAATAAATAAATAAAATAAAATTTAAGAAGCAGATAAATAAGTGACTAGAGCCCCGCCTGGTTTCAGCTCATCTCCAAAGATGACCAAAGGAGGGATGAGTTATTTTCCCAGCATGGTCCTCAGAGACCCCTCTCCTGCACCCCAGGGACTCGAGAAGTCAAGGCTTGGTTTCCCGCTGTTCTCACCAAAAATAACCCGATCCCCTAACCTCCCTTTGAAATACCGGAAAAAAAAAATCAGGACGGCTCACGGAGGCAACACTGCTACACAGATACCTTCTTTGGAGCGAGGATGAATTTTAAATGATCACAAGAAAAAGAGATGTTTCATGAGAGAGATGCCAGGCACAGCCCGTGGCCCCCTGGGATCACCAAAAATCTGGTACTGGGGGATCGCCACCGTCTCAGGAAGGGGGCTGCAAGCATCCCAGGCAGGAGGGGACGGAGAGTGATGAGCTTTGCACCGATGGAAATAAAAATAGAACACTGTGTTATGGAGAGAATGACAAGTTAAATGACAAGCATTTAACCGTCTCTGTGCGCAGAAATGCGGACGGCTGCAGAAATGCAATAGAGGATTTTCTCCTGTTGCTTCCAAGTGAATGAGGGCCTGGGGACCATCCTGTACCCGTCTGCCTGTGCTCCGGAAGGCTGGATGCTTCGGGAAGGAGGCCAGGAGGCAGGACCAGCCGGAGACCGGGTCTGCACCTGTCACGGGTGAGCAGCGTTTGCTGGCTCGGGCAGACGGGGTTTCACCTGTAATGCCCAACCTCCTTTTTACTAACCCTGTTTTTAGACTCTCCCTTTTCCTTCAATCACCTAGCCTTGTTTCCACCTGAATGGACTCACCCTTAGCTAAGAGAACCAGACAGACTCCATCATGGCTCTTTCACTGGCAGCCCCTTCCTCAAGGACTGAACTCGTGCAAGCTGACTCCCAGCACATCCAAGAATGCAATTAACTGATAAGATACTGTGGCGAGCTATATCCGCAATTCCCAGGAATTCGTCTGATTACTAACGCCCGAAGCCCTGCGTCTATCACCTTGTAATAGTCTTAAAGGCCCTGCACCTGTTTACTTCCCTGTAACCATTTATCCTTTTAACTTTTTTGCCTACTTTATTTCTGTAAAATGGTTTTCGCTAGATCCCCCTCCCCTTTCTAAACCAAAGTATAAAAAAAAAATCTAGCCCCTTCTTCGGGGCCGAGAGAACTTTGAGCGTTAGCCGTCTCTTGGCCGCCGGCTAAATAAACGGACTCTTAATTCGTCTCAAAGTGTGGCGTTTTCTCTAACTCGCTCCAGGTACAACACGGGAACATCCTTTACCCAACTGATGCCTGTGCAGACGTCGCTAACAAATGCTGCTCACCTGTGACAGGTGCAGACCGGTGTCCGGCTGGCTGGACGTCTGGACATCTGGACGTCTGGAGGGCGGCCGGCCGGTCCTGCCTCCTGACCTCCTTCCCCAAGCATCCAGCCTTCCGGAGCTTCTCCGTGCCCTCCCCTTCCTTCTTTCTTTCCTCCTGTACATTGCCTAGAAATCGCCAGAAAGCTGCCACCGCGTCTACAGAAACAAAAACATTATCTTCGGGAGCACGCTGGGTGCATTTAAACCGACCCCACTGCCTTCTTCTAAACTGGGATCTGGAAGGAATGCTGAAGGATCTGGAAGGAATGCTGAAGGATCTGGAAGGAATGCTGAAGGATCTGGAAGGAATGCTGAAGGATCTGGAAGGAATGCTGAAGGATCTGGAAGGAATGCTCAGCATCCTATGGATTTTTTTTTTTTTTTTGGCTCTTTTTCCTTCTAAGATGACAGTGAGGCTGTTAAGCATAATAATTGTCCCTGAGTGAGTCACCCTCGCTGTTCCGCTTTTGCCTCCAAGGCAGGCTCTCCGCCCCCCGCAGAGGTCAGGGGTCACGTCTGCTAAATCACGCAATATCCCCGAATCCCAGGCGAATGAGGCCCTTCACAAACTGCTGCTGGTGATTAAACCAGCCCGGCATGAAACGCGGGCTCTAAATTGCGATTATTTGAATGATGGATGGCGTGTCTAACGAGACCATTATTGCCACGAGTGACCTTCTGGGCTGAAGACGGTTTCGATATAAGCAACACTCTCACGCGGCCGGGGTGATGGCCGTGTGCACCTGTGTGTGCGTGCCCGCGTGTGCACGTGTGTGTGTGTGATGCGTGCACCTGTGTGTGTCCTCGCTCTCTCTAGAGCTTGTCTCCGATTCTTTGAACTGCCACACAGGCAATGCCACCCTCACTGGATGTGTCATCCGAGCAGTCCCCTTAATGAGACCATTTTCATACACCTGGGCTGAAAGTGCCCCACGCCTAAAATACTCACGGGGTGAAACTTGAGTTCCCGTGCGTGCGTGTCCTCGTCCTCCATGGTAGGGAAAAAGAAAAAGGAATGGGAGAGAAAAGGGGTGTCTCCGGGAAGCCACTCACACATGCAGATGTAATTAAGTTGAGGATCTTGAGGTGAGATCATCCTGGATTAGGTGAGCTCTAAATGCAATGACAGGTGTCCTTGTAAGAGACAGAAGAGGACACACAGACACAGAGGAGAAGTCCACGTGGAGACGGAGGCAGAGACTGGAGTGATGCGGCCACAAGCCCAGGGACACCTGGAGCCCCCAGGAGCTGGGAGAGGCAGGAAGGATCCTGCCCTAGAACCTCTACAAGGAAGTGGATACAATTGTAATGGATTGAACAGTGGCCCCCAGAAAGATCTGTCCACATCCTAAAGCCCAGAACCTAGAATGAGATATCGTTTGGAAATAGGGTCTCTGCAAATGTGATTAAGTGAAGGATCTTGAGATGAGATGATCATGAATGAGGGTGGACCCTAAATGCAATGACAGGTGACTTTCTAAGAGACAGAAGAGGAGACACAGACACAGAGGAGAAGTCCACGTGGAGACGGAGGCAGAGACTGGAGTGAGGCGGCCACAAGCCCAGGGATGCCTGGAGCCCCCAGGAGCTGGGAGAGGCAGGAAGGACCCTCCCCTAGAACCTCCAGAAGGAACTGGATACAATCGGAATGGGTTGAACCATAGTCTCCCCGAAAAGCTATGTCTACATCCTAACTCCCTCAACCCATGAATGGAATCTTATTCGGATATGAGGTCTTTACAGATGTAACTAAGTCAAGGATTTCGAAATGAGATGATCCTGGATTAGGTGAGTCCTAAATCCATTGACAGGTGTCCTTCTAAGAGACAGAAGAGGAGACACAGACACAGAGGAGAAGGCCACGTGGAGAACAGAGGCAGAGACTGGAGTGATGCGGCCACAAGCCCAGGAAGCCTGGAGCCCCCAGGAGCTGGGAGAGGCAGGAAGGACCCTCCCCTAGGGCCTCTGGAGGGAGCTCAGCCCTGAGACCGCTTCATCTCAGACTCCTGGTCTGCAGGACTGGGAGAGGATAAATTTCTGTTGTTTTAAGCTCCCAGTATCTGTGAATGAGAACTTATTTGAAAATAGGGTCTTTGCAGACACAGTTAACTCAAGAAGTTTGAGATGAGGTCATCCTGGAGTAGGCTGGGCCCTAAATGCAATGGCAGGTGTCCTTGTAAGAGACAGAAGAGAAGACACAGACACAGAGAAGAAGGCCACGTGGAGAACGGAGGCAGAGACTGGAGTGACGCGGCCACAAGCCCAGGAAGCCTGGAGCCCCCGGGAGCTGGGAGAGGCAGGAAGGACCCTCCCCTAGAACCTCTGGAGGGACTGTGGTCCTGCCTACACCTTGATCTCAGACTCCTGGACACCGGGACTGGGAGAAAACAAGTTGCTGTTGTTAGAAGCCCAGAAACTCCTACAATACAGGGCCCAAGACCACTCCTTTCCTTCCCCCTCTTCCCCAGGAGCCTGTCCCTACCAAAAAAAAAAAAAAAAAAAAATTAGCCAGGCGTGGTGGTGCATGCCTGTGCTCCCAGCTACTCGGGAGGCTGAGGCAGGAGGATTGCTTGAGCCCAGGAGTTGGAGTCTCACTGGGTGACAGAGCAAGACTTCGTGTCTACAAAAATAAAAATAAATCAATGAAACACACAAGAGGACAGAAACACAGGAAACGCGTGACGTAGAAAGCACGTAGAAAATAAATAACAAACTGGGAGACTGAAGTCCCTCCTAAAATCCTCATAAGCCAGCCAAAAGGAAGAAAATTTGGCGCTTGCTACAACAAACGTGAGTCTTGGAGCAGTGACGAAGCCAGACACAGAAAGATAAACACTGTGGGGCCGGGCGCCGTGGCTCACGCCTGTAATCCCAGCACTTTGGGAGGCCGAGGCAGGCGGATCATGAGGTCAGGAGATCGAGACCATCTCGGCTAACACGGTGAAAGCCCGTCTCTACTAAAAATACAAAAAAATTAACCAGATGTGGTGGCGGGCGCCTGTAGTCCCAGCTACTCGGGAGGCTGAGGCAGGAGAATGGCGTGAACCCGGGAGGCGGAGCTTGCAGTGAGCCGAGATCGCGCCACTGCACTCCAGCCTGGGCGACAGAGCAAGACTCCATCTCAAAAAAAAAAAAAAAAAAAAAAAAAAAGATACACACTGTGGGATTCCATTTACAGGAGGTCCCTGGAGTCCTCAGAGTCATGGAGATGGAGAGGAGGTTGATGGCAGCCGGGGAAAGGGAGTGAGTGTGTAAGGGGAACAGGGTTTCTGTTTGGGAAGATGAGAAACTTCTGGAGATACGGATGGTGGTGATGGCTGCAGAAGCCAACTGCAGTTCAAACTGCTGTGTACATTTACACACGGTGAATGCCGGCCGGGCACGGTGGCTCACGCCTGTCATCCCAGCACTTTGGGAGGCTGAGGCAGGTGGATCACCTGAGGTCAGGAGTTCAAGACCAGCCTCACCAACATGGGGAAACCCGGTCTCTACTAAAAATACAAAAAATTAGCCGGGCGTGGTGGCGGGCGCCTGTAATCTCAGCTACTCGGGAGACTGAGGCAGGAGAATCGCTTGAACCCAAGAGGCAGAGTTTGCAGTGAGCCGAGATCATGCCATTGCACTCCAACCTGGGCGACAAGAGTGAAACTCTGTCTTAAAACAAAATACATGGTTAATGCTCTAGACTTTGTGTTATGTGCGTTTTACCACAATTTGAAAAACACTGGAGGCCGGGCACAGTGGCTCACGCCTGTCATCCCAGCACTTTGGGAGGCTGAAGCAGGCGGATCACCTGAAGTCACCCATCGAAGACCAGCCTGGCCAACATGGTGAAACTCCATCTGTACTAAAACACTGGGGGGAAAGTGTCAGGAAGCGGCAGGTTAAGGAAAGGAAATGGTACGATTTTCTGGCCGGAAACGGGGAAAGGGGTCGGGAAGCGGCAGTCGAAGGAAAGGAAATGGTACGATTTTCTGGCTGGAAATGGGGGTGCTGTGTAGCTGTCACCTCTGGGTAAACAGCTCCTGACACGTGTTCAATAGGATTACGTTAAAACAAGTGGGTCGTGATTGATAACCTAATATCCAGACCGTGCGGATCATCTATCACCAGGAGTATATTAATTATTCAGAGGAGGTCCCTTATCTAGGTGTTAAGCCCTGGATGGATTAGATATTTGTTAGCATTAGGATAGCATCCTAATGCAATCCCACTCCTTGGCCCGCAACCCACTGACAGGCCCCGGTGTGTGATGTTCCCCTCCCTGCGTCCCTGTGTTCTCATCGTTCAGCTCCCACTTAGGAGTGAGAACATGCGGTGTGTGGTTTTCTGTTCCTGTGCGAGTTTGCTGAGAATGATGGTTTCCAGCTTCATCCATGTCCCTGCAAAGGACATGAACCCATCCTTTTTCGTGGCTGCATAGTATTCCATGGTGTCTGTGTGCCACATTCTCTGTATCCAGTCTATCATTGATGGGCATTTGGGTTGGTTCCAAGTCTTTGCTGTTGTGAACAGTGCCTCAATAAACATACGTGTGCATGTGTCTTTATGGTAGAGTGATTTATAATCCTTTGGGTATATACCCAGTAACGGGATGGCTGGGTCAAACGGTATTTCTAGTTCTACATCCTTGAGGAATCGCCACGCTGTCTTCCACAATGGTTGAACTAATTTATTTACACGTACTCCGATTTGCCTTAGATAAAGCTACAGGATAGCCAGGCAGGAAAAAGCACATACACATCAGCCCAGAAGGACTCGCCTAGATCGTTTTTATGTTAAACAAAGCAAAAGTAATAATAATAATAAAATTAAAATAATAAAGGAGACAGACTTTGTGGTTGCAAATCTGTCTGAATGTTTCTTGGGTGTTATTTTTTCCCCATCCCCGCCCCCCTCCAATTTATTGCTGAAATCAGCCGGTTAAATGGTGGCTCAAGAAGTCAGGCTCTCTCTGGTATCCAATTATCTCCTCCTTTCCTAACCAGAAACAACAGGTGTCCACCAGGTCTGCAAACAGCGTAGAAAAAAAAAAATACATATCCAGTCGTTTAAAAATTGTAAATCTATGCCGTATGAATTTAAACCAGACGTGCTTCAGCTGAGGGGCAGGCTGAGTTCCAGCCAACGGTTTCGAGCAGGAAGGGCAAGAAATAGCTCTCATTATATTTCCTTAGCTGACTGTTATTCCAGGAAACCTTTGCTTAAAGGTGCCGGTGCCCAGTTAATGATAGTTGCCTTCCCCAAAGTCAAAGCTATTTTGTGAAAAGGAGTGTATGACACTATTTGCTAGCATTTAGGAGACCTGCATTATTTAGAATTGAATCTTCAAGAGAGGAACAGACTGCAGACATAAACATCCTCATTATTTTGAATCCGAGTCATCTTCCACAGCCACAAAAAAAAAAAAAAAAAAATTATTAAAGCAAACCTTTTAGGGATCGTTGGTCTGTGATTCATTTGGATTATTATTTTTTTTTCCAGCTTCCTTTCTTTTCCTTAAAATCTCACAGACACTCGGAGCTCTGGATAAACGCCGGCTTACGGGTGGCGCACGGTATTTTAGCTGCATTGGACATTATTTATTTTCCGTGAAAACCCTGTGCTTTCAACACAGTTCACCGAATATGCAGCTCTCCTCATTCCATCCGCTGCCAGTGCTTATCCTAGTTTCTGAGAACATTAAAATGAATGCAAACCTCTCTGCCCCTGCCATCTGGGCCCATTCAGCCCTCACCGGGGCCCGTGTGTTCATCACACCTGCTGCCCATAGCTGGAAAGTTGGCGGTAGGTCTTCTGAAATACGTGTGTCAGGATTAAAGTTATCCATTCAACCCCACTGCCGCCCTCTGGAAGGGAAGATGCCTCTTTCACGCCCCCACTCACCTCCAGCTCTGGGCTAAGGGGGTGACCCTATGAGGCAAGGAAGCCACTTTGGGGATGCTCTGAGCCCTGGTCCCCCTCATTCCCCGAATGCCACCTCCCGGGTACCTGGTGGAGACGTTCGCATGATGTGGGACTTTCCAGGTACCGCATAAGAGAAGGTGCTGGCCAGGAGCGGCGGCTCACACCTGTAATCCCAGCATTTTGGGGAGGCTGAGACAGGAGGATCGCTGGAGACCAGGAGGTCGAAGCAACCGTGAGCTGTGATCACACCAGGGTACTCCAGCCCAGGTGACAGAGCAAGACCCTGTTTAAAAATATATATATTTATATATTTGTATGTATATATAACATTAAAACATTATATGTATATAGCATTAAAATGTTATATATGTCATATATAAATATAAAACATTTATATATAACATTAAAACCTTATATATATAACATTAAAACCATATATATATATATATTTTTTTTTTTACAGATAGTTGTTATTTCAGACCTTGTCTCAAAAACAAAAAAAGAGGCCAGGCATGGTGGCTCACGCCTGTAATCTCAGCACTTTGGGAGGCCGAGGAGTGAGGATCACTTGAGCCCAGGAATTCAAGACCAGCCTGGGCAACATAGTGAGACCCTGTATGTACCAAAAGAAATCAAAAACTTAGCTGGGCGTGATGGTGCATGTCTGTAATCCCACATACTTAGAAGGCTGAGGTGGGAGGATCGCTTGAGCCTGGGAAGTTGAGGCTGCAGTGAGCTATGATTACACCACTGCACTCCAGCCTGGGCAACATAGTGAGGCCTGATCTCCACAAAAGATCAAAAACTTAGCCGGGCGTGGTGGCGCACACATGTAGTCCCAGCTACTTGGGAGGCTGAGGCAGGAGGATCGCTTGAGCCTGGGAAGTTGAGGCTGCAGTGAGCTATGATTACACTGATGCACTCCAGCCTGGGCAACATAGTGAGGTCTCATCTATACAAAAGATCAAAAAATTAGCCAGGCATGGTGGTGCACACATGTAATCCCAGCTCCTTGGGAGGCTGAGGCAGGAGGATCGCTTGAGCCTGGGAAGTTGAGGCTGCAGTGAGCTATGATTACACTGTTGCACTCCAGCCTGGGCAACACAGTGAGATCCTATCTCAAAAAAAAGAAAAAAGACAAAACAAAAAACACAACATTTTTTAAAAGAGAAGATGCTGTTTCAGGACACGGTAGTCTCCGCTCACTTAGGCATATCTGGGACCGGGTATATCTGTGAGCAGGTTTGTGTGAAGTCATTTTCCAAAGACAATACACCAATTTCCGAAAGGAAGCAGTGAGCCGTAGCAGCTCAGGAACCCCAGACTGGGTTCACCTTCCTATATAGCTCCGTGGGGAGGGATCCCGTCTAGCGTCCTAGGCGTTCGTAGGGTACAGACCGCAGACACAGAGGGAAGGCGGGGGCCGTAGGAGGGCCGGGATTGTGTTGTTTTTCACTGCAATGACATAAAACGTATTATATGAAATTCACCATAAATTTCACAACATAAAACTCACCACTTTAACCGCCGTGAAAATCTCAGTGGCATTGAGAACATCACTGCGCCGTGTAACCACCCCCTCTGTCTACTTCCAGAACATCCTTCTCCCCATAAAAGGAGACCCCCTCCCCAGGAAGCAGTTCCTCCTCATTCCCTCCCCACAGCCTGTGGCAACCACTCATCTGAGCTCTCTCTCTGTGCATTGGCCGCTTCCGGACAGTTGACGTAAGGGGATTGTACAATAAGCCAAAGGAAATATCGCTGAGTGTGACTTCTTCAGGGTGTATCCACGTTGCAGCCTAGGTCACAGCCTCATTCTTTTTCATGGCTGTATAGTACTCCACTGGGTGGGCACAAAGTGAGTGAACCACTGTTTGTTTATCGATTCATCCACTGAGGGACACCTGGATGGTTTCCATGTGTGTGCTCCTACAAACGTGAGCGAGCAGATATCTCTTCCAGTCCCTCTTTCTTTTTTTTGAGACGGAGTTTCACTCTTGTTGCCCAGGATGGAGTGAAATGGCGCCATCTCGGCTCACCACAACGTCCGCCTCCCGGGTTCAAGGGATTCTCTTGCCTCAGCCTCCTCAGTAGCTGAAATTACAGGCAGGCACCTCCACGCCCTTGGCTAATTTTGTATGTTTAGTAGAGACGGGGTTTCTCCATGTTGGTCAGGCTGGTCTCCAACTCCCGACCTGAGGTGATCCACCTGCCTCGGCCTCCCAAAGTGCTGGGATTACAGGCGTGAGTCACTGTTCCCGGCCCCTCCTTTCTATTCTTTTAGGTACATACTTAGCTGGGGTATTACTGGGTTCTATGGAAATTCTCTGTTTCACACTTTCAGGAGCCCCTGTGGTCCCATGAAAGCCAGATAAGAATCAACAGGCCCGGCACAGCGGCTCACGCCTGTAATCCCAGCACTTTGGGAGGCCAAGGCAGGTGGATCACCTGAGGTCAGGAGTTCGAGACCAGCCTGGCCAACAGGGTGAAACCCCATCTCTACTAAAAATACAAAATTTACAAGTGGTGGCGGGTGCCTGTAATCCCAGCTACTCCGGAGGCTGAGGCAGGAGAATGGCTTGAACCTGGGAGGCGGAGGTTGTGGTGAGCAGAGATCGCGCCATTGCTGTCCAGCCTAAGGGACAAGAGCGAAACTCCATCTCAAAAAAAAAAAAAGAAAAAATCTACATCCACAGGACCCCGGCACTGGGGCAGGGCAGGAAGGAGGGGCAACAGCAGGTCTTGGCGGGGCTCCTGGCTGCTCACATGTGGTGAGCCGGTCTCAAGGCCAGGCTGGAGGCTCTGAAGGAGGTTTCAGCTGACCTCAAGGACTAGCAGCTCCTTCCCCTCTTACTAACACACAGGCATTCATTTACCAGAATGAATACTGGAGATAAATTTTCCAGCCTGGGGGGTGGAGGGAACAGCTGTTTTTTGCTGCCCCATTTCACATAAAGCAAAACACTACATGAGGCCCACGCTATTCCCACGAGCCTCTCCCCATTTGCTTTCTGATGGCCTAACTTTCCATCCAGCCTTGGTGTCTGGGGAGCTTCAAGATTCCAGAACCCGGCTGGGCGCGGAGGCTCACGCCTGTAACCCCAACACTTTGGGAGACCGAGGCGGGAAGATCACCTGAGGTCGCGAGTTCGAGACCAGCCTGGCCAACGTGGTGAAATCCCGTCTCTACTAAAAATACAAACATTAGCCGGGTGTGGTGGCTCATGCCTGTAATTCCAGCTACTCGGGAGGCTGAGGCAGGAGAATGGCTTGAACCCGGGAGGTGGAGGTTGGAGTGAGCTGAGTTGGCACCATTGCACTCCAGCCTGGGCAACAAGAGCAAAATTCCATCTAAAAAAAAAAAAAAAAAGGATTCCAGAACCTTCCTCCCAAACAAGGAAGGTGGGAAAGAAACCCAGGCCGTCCCTGACAACTTTCTGAGCATGAACAAGTCAGAAACAGAACTTGGGGGGGCTGAGGTCTATGGAGCCTGGAGGAGGGCTACACCCCAATTCCCGATCCTACCCCAAAGGTCACCCCAGCAGCCACATCATTTTTAGCCCTAGGTTTGAATAACTACATAAATATGGTTTGTAAAAATGAATAGGTGTTATTTGTGATAATAATCCCAGGCAGGGCACGGTGGCTCATGCCTGTCATCCCAGCAGTTTGGGAGGCCAAGGCAGGTGGATCACTAGAGGTCAGGAGTTCGAGACCAGCCAGACCAACATGGTGAAATTCCATCTCTACTCAAAATACAAAAGTAGCCAGGTGCGGTGGCTCACACCTCTCATCCCAGCACTTCGGGAGGCTGAGGTGGGTGGATCATGAGATCAGGAGTTCGAGACCAGCCTGACCAACATGGAGAAACCCCGTCTCTACTAAAAATACAAAATTAGCCGGGCGTGGTGGCGGGCGCCTGTAATCCCAGCTCCTCGGGAGGCTGAGGCAGGAGGATCGCTTGAACCCGGGAGGCGGAGTTTGCGGTGAGCCGAGCTCATGCCACTGCACTCCAGCCTGGGCGACAGCGCGAGACTCCATCTCAAAAGTAGATAAATATATAATCCCAGCACTTTGGGAGGCTGATGTGGGAGGATCACTTGAGCCCAAGGGTTTGAGACCAGCCTGGTTTGCAATATAGTGAGACCCCCATCTCTACAAAACATTAAAATATATATATATATATATATATATATATATATATATATATAGCCAGGTATGGGCCCGGCGTGGTGGCTCACGCCTATAATCCCAGCACTTTGGGAGGCCGAGGCAGGTGGATCACCTGAGGTCAGGAGTTCGAGTCCAGCGTGGCCAGCTTGGTGAAACCCTGTCTCTACTGAAAATACAAAAATTAGCCAGACGTGGTGGCGGGTGCCTGTCATCCCAGCTACTCGGGAGGCTGACACAGGAGAATCGCTTGAACCTGGGAGGCGGAGGTTGTGGTAAGCCAAGATCACACCGCTGCTCTCCAGCCTGGGTGACTGACCCTGCCTCCAAAAAAAAAAAAATAGACAGGCATGGTGGCATGCACCTGTAGTCCCAGCTAGTTGGGAGGCTGAGGAGGGAAGATTTCTTGAGCCTGGAAGATCAAGGCTGCAGTGAGCTATGATTGCACCACTGCCCTCCAGCATGGGCGACAGACCAAGAAGCTGTCTCAAATAAATAAAATCATAAAATGAAAATAAATATTGCTAATACATAATGCAATGGTCCACAAGGTCGCTGGCCTGTGGATTGTGAGCAGAACGGCCTGTCTTTGCGTTCAGAACCTCACACTTACACACCCCTGCTCCCGGCCTCTGTGTCCCTCTGTCTCTGACACACACAGACACACACACACACACACACACACAAAGTATGTGATACTTTCTCCTGTCAATCTCAGAGAACTCCAATGAGACTGTAGGAAACGTGAACACATACGTGATCAATTCTGACAGTTCTTGGCAGCCGGGCAGCTGAGCCCTGGCTAGCATCTCTCTCTCCCCATCCAAGATTGAGTTTGGACGGAAACTCAGTCCTCATTTAAGAAGCAATTAAAGGGCCTTATAGACTGCTGGAGAATGAAGTGATTAATGCAAAGAGTCTCGTTTAATAGGGATATTAAGTAAACTGCTGCTTAAAACGCCCATTTATCATCCACGGATTCCTATTTGCCTTCCCGTTCCGCCAGCATGAGCATTTTCAGGAGGCAGGAGGTTTCCTGAGCGCGGCCGTTGCAAATGCCAGAAATCAAGCCGGTGGGTTTTTAGCTAATTCTGAGGGAGGCTAAACGGAACCCATAGCACGAGAAGGGGGTTGCCATGAGAGTTCGTGACAACTTCGAGATGCAGAGAACACACAGGATGTCGGCAAGGGAGTCCGGCCCCAGCTGCCCGCCGGGGAACACAGGGCGTACCACACCCCCAAATCCCTTTCCCCAAACACTGTGGGGACCCAGACGGGTGGCTGCTAATTCTGAAAATCGCGTGAATGTTGGCCGGTGTGGTGGCTCACGTCCGCGATCCCAGCACTTTGGGAGGCCGAGGCGGGAGGATCACTTGAGGTCAGGAGTTGGAGACCAGCCTGACTCACATGGTGAAACCCCACCTCTACTGAAAATACAAAAAAAAATTAGGCAGGTGTGGTGGCGGGGGCCTGTCATCCCAGCTGCTCGGGAGGCTGAGGCAGGAGAATCGCTTGAATCCAGGAGGTGGAGGTTGCGGTGAGCCGAGATCGTGCCATTGCACTCCAGCCTGGGCGACAGAGTAAGACTCAGTCTCAGAAAAAAAAAAAGGCCAGGTGTGGAGGCTCATGCCTGTAATCCCAGCACTTTGGGAGGCCAAGGCAGGCGGATCACCAGGTCAGGAGTTTGAGACCATCCTGGCCAACATGGTGAAACCCTGTCTCTACTAAAAACACAAAAATTAGGCAGGCGTGGTGGTGGGTGCCTGCAATCCCAGCTACTCGGGAGGCTGAGGCAGGAGAATCACTTGAACTCAGGAGGCGGAGGTTGCAGTGAGCCGAGATTGCACCACTGCACTCCAGCCTGGGCGACAGAGCAAGACTCCATCTCAAAAAAAAAGACCTTCAGAGAAAATCCAACACCACCAAATGTCAGATGTGGCAACTTATAAACAACAGACAAATGCTGCGCGCAGTGGCTCCCACCTGTAATCCCAGCAGTTTGGGAGGCCAAGGCAGGTGGATCACCTGAGGTCGGGAGTTCGAGACCAGCCTGGCCAATATGGAGAAACCCCGTCTCTACTAAAAATACAAAAATTAGTCAGGCATGGTGGCAGGCGCCTGTCTTCCCAGCTACTCGGGAGGCTGAGGCAGGAGAATTGCTTGAACCCAGGAGGTGGAGGTTGCAGTGAGCTGAGATCACGCCACTGCACTCCAGCCTGGGTGACACAGCGAGACTCTGTCTCAAAAAATAAAAACACATATTTCAATCATCATCTTTATTTCTTTTTTAAATCATGGCAACTTTTATTTCGGATTCAGGAGGCTCATGTGCACATTTGTTGCTTGAGTATAATGTGTGATGCTGAAGTTTGGGGCATGAAGGATTGTGCCATCCAAGTACTGAGCATGGGACCCAACGTATGATTTTTCCGCCTTTGCCTCCATCCTTCCCTCCCCCGTCTAGCAGACGCCAGCATCTATTGTTCCCATTTCTATGACTATTTGTACCCAATTTTAGCTCCCTCTTATGTGGGCCTCCACTGAGGCAAGAGAATGGCGTGAACCAAGGAGGCGGAGCTTGCAGTGAGCCGAGACCGCGCCACTGCACTCCAGCCTGGGCGACAGAGTGAGAATCCGTCTAAAAAAAAAAAAAAAAAAGAAGAAGAAGAAGCGCCTCCAGCTGCATCCGTATTTCTGCAAAGGACATGATTTGATTCTTTTTCATGGCTGTGTAGCATTCAATGTTACAGATGGATCATATTTTCTTTTTTTTTTTTCCGAGACAGAATCTTGCAACCTCTGCCTCCCAGGCGCGACCTCAGCTCGCTGCAACCTCCGCCTCCCGGGTTCAAACGATTCTCCCGCCTCAGCCTCCGAAGTAGCCAGGGTTCCAGGTGTTCACCACCAGGCTTGGCTACTATTTGTATTTTTTTTTCTTTTTTTGAGCCGTAGTCTCACTTTTGTCACCCAGGCTGGAGTGCAATGGCATGATCTTGGCTCACTGCAACCTCCACCTCCCGGGTTTAAGTGATTCTCCTGCCTCAGCATCTCAAGCAGCTGGGATTACAGGCACCTGCCACCACGCCTGGCTAACTTTTTTTTTTTTTTTGAGATGGAGTCTCACACTGTCACCCAGGCTGGAGTACATTGGTGCGATCTCGGCTCACTGCAACCTCCACCTCCCAGGTTTAAGTGATTCTCCTGCCTCAGCCTCCCGACTAGCTGGAACTACAGGTGCCCACCACCATACCTGGCTGATTTTTTTGTATTTTTAGTAGAGATGGGGTTTCACCATGTTGGTCAGGCTGGTCTCGAACTGCTGACCTCGTGATCCACCCGCCTCAGCCTCCCAAAGTGCTGGGATTGCAGGCGTGAGCCACCACGTCCGGCCTCAAGACTCTTTCTAATCCCCACCTCCTCCTAAAGCACCAGCCATCCTGCATAGAACCAAGAAACCCCAACAGGTTTCCTAACGAAATTGCCTGAGCTGTAACTTCTGCCAAATAAAATAAGCGTGTGGCAGACGGCGACCGAGGACTTTGCGTGAGCACGGACGGAGATTAGGAAGCAGCCGACTTTCCTGAGCAGCCTCTGCCTTCAGGAGCGTCTCGGCACGGCGGGCACGCACCTCACCCACCCTCCCCGGGGAGTCCTCCTTTGGCACATCCCTGGGGTGCCCTGGGGAAGTCACCGGGCCAGGGCCAGGGCTGGAGATGGCCGGTACCACAGTCTCAGAAGAGAGCAGTGAGGGCCCACAGGTGCCCAAGGGTCTCTCTCTCCAACAGAGCCTCCTCCTCGGGGAAAGGACTTCTGAGAGCAGGTGCAAACGTGTGCACGGCCCACCACGGCGTGTCTGCTCCTGACAGACTCATCCCGCAAGCCCAGGACGAACAAGGATGGGAGGATCCTGCGGAGCCGACAGTGACGTCACTCCCGAGACGCAAAACAAAGCAAAGGGGGGCTGGAGGTGGCACTTCCTTCAGGCAAGAGGGGCTCTGAGGAGAGGCCGCCAACGTTCACTGACATGCATGCACACACACAGACATGCAGGCGAATGCACACACAGGTACACAGATACACAGAAACATGTACACACATACGTACAAGGCACACCCACATTCACACAGACACACACATACAGACACATTTGCACACACACACACATATACAGGCAGATGCACGCACAGACACACAGATACACAGAAACGTACACACGTACGTACATAGGCATATGTACACTCACACAGACACACATATATGAACACATGTGCACACAGACACATATACAGGCATATGCATGCACAGACATACAGAAACATGTACACATATACGTGCATAGGCATGCCCACCTCACGCAAATACACACACATGAATGCCACTCACACGCATACACACAGAGACACACAGGCATATGCATGCACAGACATGCAGAAACATGTACACACATGTCCATAGGCACATTCACACACTCAAGACACAGGCGTATACGCAGACACACAGAAACATGCACACACACACGTGCATAGGCATGCCCACACTCACACACACATCCACTCACATGCACGCACACACACATGCAAGCATATGCACACAGAAACATGTGCACACATATGTGCATAGGCATGTCCACACTGAGACACGCACATACACTCCCACGCATGCACTCAGACACGCATACAGGTGCATGCATGCACAGACATGCAGAAACACATACACACATAGGTGCATAGGCACACGTCCACCCTCACACTAACATACACACACACTCACACGCATGCACACAGAGACACACAGGCATATGCATGCACAGACATGCAGAAACATGTATACACATGTCCATAGGCACATTCACACACTCAAGACACAGGCGTATACAGACACACAGAAACATGCACACACACACGTGCATAGGCATGCCCACACTCACACACACATCCACTCACATGCATGCACACACACATGCAAGCATATGCACACAGAAACATGTGCACACATATGTGCATAGGCATGCCCACACTGAGACACGCACATACACTCCCACGCATGCACTCAGACACGCATACAGGTGCATGCATGCACAGACATGCAGAAACACATACACACATAGGTGCATAGGCACACGTCCACCCTCACACTAACATACACACACACGCATGCACACAGACACACATGGGCGTATGCACACACAGAAACATGCACACACACACGTGCATAGGCACGCTCACACTCAGACACACACACATACACTCACATGCATGCACACAGACACACATACAGGTGCATGCATGCACACATACATACACACATGGACACACATAGACACATGCTGACGCCACACACAGATGCACACACACGGGCGCGTGCGCACACACGGACACACACAGAGGCACGCAGACACCACACACACATGTGGACACACGTGCACACACACACGCGGACACGCTCACGCTGCATGGAGGCCGTCCAGCCTGCCCTTCCCGCAAACACCTGACATGCCCTTGCTGGAGTAAAAAATACAGATGCAAATGACTCTTTTACAGGGGGGTTAGCGCATCATTTCTCCCCACTCTGCATCTTGCGTGTGTGACGGGGCACGGGGCGGCAGCCGGGGCCGGGGGTCGGCCAGGACGGTGCTGGGTGAACCAGGGCTCCCCCCACCGCAGCCTCCGTGTGGACCGGTCGTCGACATGATGTGTCATAATTTGGCCTCCGAAGCTGACAGGCCCGGCTGACTGGGGGCATTAAATCATTGCCCCGAGGGACTCTCACTCTGGCAACGCGCGCTGGTACGGCTGTCATCTCCTCCCACACAGTACCTATCATTTTTGACATGATTGGATCAAAATTAGTCAGTGCATTTAGATGTAAATTACACACATCCAAGAATCGTAATGAGCACGAAAAAAAAAAAGAAATACAGCCCTGTAGAGTTGACACGGCCCACGGCTTCCATCCGTCCTGCACCGCGTCCCCGGCTGATGAGCCCCCTGATAATGAAACTGGCGTATCAAAAAAAAGTCAGGAAACTTTTTTGAGGGGCATATTTAACCGAGCCTTAAATTCCCATATAAGTCTGTAATGTTGGCTCACCCAGAAGTCCCCGCTTTACCCAACGGCTCCCAACACAGAGAGAGACATAGCTGGTCTCTCCTGAAGCGTGGCTCAGCCCTGGCACGGCTCTCACCTCTGCTCACGTATCTCGGGCCTTTTCTCCCCATTCCCCCTGGATTCCTTCCTAATGCAGAATTCTCTTCCGAGGCACAAGGAGACACTGTCCACCTGGGCTTGTGACCCGGGCATTCTCGGGGTCAGCTTTGCCGGGATAGGGCAGGGGGCCACTGCTATCTTTCTCTGCAGGCTGGACGGCTTCAATGGGGGAGCTGAAATTATCTACTCAATGCCTACTTCCTCCTGGAATTGGGACTCAGCTGCCAGAAAACCTTCCCGAAACAGTCCCTCTAACGCTGAGGACCTTCCAGGTCCAGCCAGCCTCATACTCCAGGCCAAATGTCTCCCGCCGGCTCCAGATACACACAGGTTTGGGGTCAGGACCTCGTACTAACCCTCCTCAGCCAACCCACAGCTTTGAGAGCTGGTTTCTAACAACTGCATTATTTAAGCCGGCTCATGAACGACGGCGTTATTTCAGCACCAAACTAGCCTACTTTGCCTGTAACTGGTTTTACATTTGTTTTTTTTAAACATGGCCACACACACACACAAAAGAAGGGGAGAAACGCTTCTGAACACATACCTTTAAATATTCCTTAATCAGACACGCTTGATAAAACTGACAGGGCTGTCCAGAGGGCAGACACAAAACTCTTTCTCCTGCAAACCGTGGAAATCTTGGTGCGTAGAAACAGCTCTCCCCGCTCATGCGGGAAAACCTCACTTCAATTTGACATCCGGAGGTAACGACGGGGCACCTGCGTGCATCCCCAGCTCAGCCTTTCCACGGGGCCAGGCGGGCTTGAATTGAGTTAGGTAATTAGTGTGTGTTTGGCCTGTCACCCGTGTTTAGGGCAATAGCCTGGTGCATGAAGCCGTCATTAAACATCTCGGGCTGTGATGACCGCGTGTGTGGGGAAATTCTGGGGCCGGCAGGCGGAGAGGGGTGTCCCAAGGCAGGCCAGGGCTGGAGGGTATATAGAACCACCGTGGCAGCCAGGCTCTGGGAGCTCTCCGAGGTCTCTGAGACAAGATGATTACCGGAGCCAGAAGGTTAAACTGTCTTCACGCTTCCCCCAGCAGGTTGACAGCGTAAGGTAAAATACTTGTGTTTCACTGGAGCAATTCAAAACTCCGTCTACGATACACAGACAGAGCCCCCAACATCCAGGTTTTCACAGCAACGTAAAGAAATCCTGAAATAAAGCAAAAATGTACCTGAGCATTTTTTTTCTTTTCTTTTCTTGAGACGGAGTTTCGCTCTTGCTGCCCAGGCTGGGGTGCAATGGCGCAGTCTCGGCTCACTGAAACCTCCGCCTCCCGGGTTCAAGCCATTCTCCTGCCTCAGCCTCCCGAGTAGCTGGGATTACAGGCACCTGCCACCACGCCCAGCTGATTTTAGTATTTTTAGTAGAGACGGGGGTTCACCGTGTTAGCCAGGCTGGTCTTGAACTCCCGACCTCAGGTGATCTGCCCACCTCTGCCTCCCAAAGTCCTGGGATTACAGGCATGAGCCAACGCGCCTGGCCTATTTTTTGAATTATTATTTTATTTTTAAGACAGGGTCTGGCTCTGTTGCCCAGGCTGGAGTGCAGTAGCTCAATCATGGCTCACTGCAGCCTCGGACGCCTGGACTCAGGCGATCCTCCCTCCTCGGACTTCCCAGTGTCTGGGACTACAGACGTGAGCCACCACGCCTGACTAATTTTTTTTTTATTTTGTGTAGAAATCGGGGTCTTGCTATGTTGCCCAGGCTGGTCTTAAACTCCTTGGCGTCAAGCAATCCTCCCACCTTGGCCTCTCAAAATGCTAGGATTGCAGGATTGCAGGCGTGAGCCACCGGCCCGGCCGCCCTTGGCCATTTCTGACCTCCGAGCTGAAGGACTCAGTATATTTGAAATGCGGTGTTTGCGGCCAGGCGTGGTGGCTCGGGCAGGTAACCTGCGGTCAGGAGTTCGAGACCAGCCTGGCCAGCATGGTGCACAGATATGGCGTGCACCTGTAACCCCAGCTACTTTGGAGGTTGAGGCATGAGAATCACTTGAACCTGGGAGGCGGAGGTTGCAGTGAGCCGAGATAGTACCATTGCACTCCAGCCTGGGGGTACAAGAGCAAGACTCCTTCTCAAAAAAAAAAAAGAAAGAAAAGAAAACAGAAAGCAAAACCAGTGTCTTATTTTCTCCATGAAGGAATCCCGTACTTCCATATCAGTGCTAAAATCATAGGGGGCTTAAACCTATCGATGCCTAGCATTCCATTATTGGAACGCTAAGCATCTGGCAGTTATTTACCGCCTATTGTCAAAGTCATTGCCAAGGTCTGGTTTTTCACACATATCTGCAAATACAAGAAACTGCCACCTCCAGCATAAAACAGGACATCTTTGGGAAGCACGATGCCGGCCCTTCAGTTTCAACTCAGGACAAAATGAAGATTTTATTTTTTATTTTTAATTTTTGAGACGAATTTTCACACTTGTTGCCCAGGCTGGAGTGCAAAATCTCGGCTCACTGCAACCTCCGCCTCCCAGGTTCAAGCAACTATCCTGCCTCAGCCTCCCGAGTAGCTGGGATTACAGGCACCCGCCACCACGCCCAGCTAGTTTTTGTATTTTTAGTAGAGACGGGGTTTCACCATGTTGGCCAGGCTGGCCTCGAACTCCAGACCTCAGGTGATCGGTCCGCCTTGGCCTCCCACAGTGCTGGGATTACAGGTGTGAGCCACCGTGCCCAGCCCAAAACAAAGTTTTGAGACCTCTTCTCAGAAAAAGAAAATCATCCTGTTTGCAAACCATTGAATAGACAGGTAGATAACTGACTGATGGACAATTGATAGATATGATGAAAGATGATACATAGTTGATTTGATAGGTAAATAGATGATTGATAATTGATACAGATGATTGATGATTGATGCATAAATGATATAGATCAAGGATTGATGATTGATAGCTGATTGATAGGTATGATGGATAATTGATATAGATAGATGATTGATGATAGTTGATAGGTATGATGCATAATTGATATAGATGATAATTGATAAATAGTTGATTGATAGGTGTGATGGATAATTGATATAGATTGATAGGTAGTTGATTGATAGGTATGATGGATAATTCATATAGATAGATGATTGATGATAGTTGATAGGTATGATGCATAATTGATATAGATGATTGATAATTGACAAATAGTTGATTGATAGGTTTGATGGATAATTGATATAGATGATTGATGATTGATAGATAGCTGATCGAAAGGTGTGACGGATAATTGATATAGATTGATGATAGGTAGTTGATTGATAGATATGATGGATAATTCATATAGATAGATGGTTGATTGATAAGTATGATGGATAATTGATATAGATAGATGATTGATGATTGATAGGTATGACAGATAATTGATATAGATTGATGATTGATAGATGGTTGATTGATAGGTATGATGGATAATTGATATATGATTGACGATTGATAGCTGATTGATAGGTATGATGGATAATTCACACAGATAGATGATTGATGATATATGATTGATAGGTTTGATGGATAATTGATATAGATGCTTGATGATTGATGATTGTTAGTTGATTGATATGTATGATGGATAATTAGTATAGATAGATGATTGATGATAGATAGTTGATTGATAGGTATGATGGATAATTGATATAGACAGATGATTAATGATAGCTGATTGATAGGTATGACAGATAATTGATATAGACAGTTAATAGGTAGATAATTGACTGATAGATCACTGATAGGTGATAGATAGACAAACAGAGATTGTCTCAGCCTCAGGCAGTGTCTTTCAGCCCTGGTACTTCCGACACATGGGACTGGACGATTCTCTCTGGTGGGGCTGATCTGTGCACTGTAGGGTGTTGAGCAGTGTCCCTGGGCTTCACCCACCAGCGACCAGAAGCACCCTCACTCCACAATCCAGACAACCAAAAGTGTCCCCAGAGACTGACAAAGTGTCCTCAGAGGAGACAATCGGCAGCAGCTGAAAAGCACAGATTAGATAGATAGGTAGATAGATGATAGATAGATAATGGGTCAATAAATAGATCTGTAGATAGATGATAGATAGATAATAAAGATTGATGATAGATAATAGATAAAGGTAGATAGGCAGATCTAGATAAATAGGTAGATTGGTGGATGATAGATGATAGATTGATTGATTTATATATGATAGAGATAGATAGGTAATGGATGGGTAGATGATAGATGAATGATAGATGGATAGATAGATGATAGATAATAAAGATGGGTGATGGATGGATGAATGACAGATGATGGATAAATTGATTTATAGATGATAGAGATGATAGATGATGGATGGATGAATAGATAGATGTATGATAGATAATGGATAGATGGATAGATGGATGGATGGATGGATAGATGGATGGTTGGGAGAGAGAGAGATTATAGATAGATGATAGGTGGATAGATAGATAATAGATACATAGATAGATACATAGATAGATGATAGATAGATGATAGGTAGATAGATACATAGATACATAGATACATAGATAAATGATAGATGATAGGTGGGTAGATAGATAGATAGATAGATAGATAGATGCATAATAGATTGAGAGATTGATTGATTGATTGACAGATGATAGAGTCCCTCAGATAGTGTCTCTCAGCCTCACCTCTGCTGACATTTGGGGCTGGAGGATTCTCTGTGGTCACTGTAAGGTGGTGAGCAGCATCCCCGGGCTCCACAAACCAGGTGCCAGGAGCACCCCCCTCCCAGTTACCACACCCAGAACCGCCCCAGACAGTGCCGAGTGTCCGTCGGGGTGCATGTTCATCCCCAGTTGAGAACGGTCGCTCCCCAGTTCCCCCGGAAGCCATCCTCATTTCTAAAGTTCCAAGAACCTGGCCAGGCCGTTTCACCTCTCCACAAACATCTGACTTCTGCTCTGCTATATATTTAGAATCCTCTCCATTCATATTTATACCCACAGAGTCCTCTGCTGGCTGAACCCCTGGGCTCAATTTTTCAGCACGAAAAGAGCCTTTTTATTCCCATGGATTTTCACATGAAAACAGAGTGCATCGGATGGAGACGCACAATCCAAGAGGCAGCTCCACCGGCAAAAGGCCTGGAGAAAGTGCAGCTCCTGTGGGCTCCTGGGAACTCAAGGGCAGCAGGATGATGGGTGGGTACCACCGAGAGGAAAACTTCAGAGCAGGTGCAGAGGCTGACAGACGGCAGGTGCAGAGGCTGACAGACGGCAGCCTCCACCACAAACCAGAGCAGCATAAACAGACACAGTCTCAAGCCACAGCATGAGACATAAATAATGGCATTGCTTCCTTACCACAACACTCAGAGGCAGGCGCTATTTTCAGGTACATTTTTCCCGATGAGGAAATGAGGGGTTCATAGATGGTGAGAATTTCTCCTAATGCAATCCCTTCCACAGCCCCACAGCCCTCGACAGGCCCGGGTGTGTGATGTTCCCCTTCCTGTGTCCATGTGTTCTCATTGTTCAACTCCCACTTAGGAGTGAGAACATGCAGTGTTTGGTTTTCTGTTCCTGTGTGAGTTTGCTGAGAATGATGGATTCCAGATTCATCCATGTCCCTGCGAACGACATGAACTCATCCTTTTTGATGGCTGCATAGTATTCCATGGTGTCTATGTGCCACATTTTCTTTATCCAGTCTATCATTGATGGGTTGACTTGCTTAGAAAAACTTCCCTGTTGCCAAATACTGAGTGATGAAGAAAAACTCTGGGACTCATCTAGAAAGACGGTGAATTCAGAGAGCCGACATCATGGTGCACGCTAAGCAAAGACGACGGGCTTTGAAAACCTGCTGGGAATAGCAAAAGACTTGGGACCAACCCAAATGCCCATCAATGATAGACTGGATAAAGAAAATGTGGCACACAGACACCATGGAATACTATGCAGCCATGAAAAAGGGTGAGCTCCTGTCATTTGCAGGGACATGGACGAAGCTGGAAACCATCATTCTCAGCAAACTCACACAGGAACAGAAAACCAAACACCGCAAGTTCTTACTCCTAAGTGGGAGTTGAACAATGAGAGTATTTTTTTTAATCTTTATTTTTGCAGAGATGAGAAGCTAACTCTATTGCCCAGACTGGAGAGCTGTGGTACGATCTTGGCTCACTGCAGCCTCGACGTCCTGGGCTCAAGGAATGCTCCCACCTTAGTCTCCCCAGGAGCTGGGACTACAGGTGGAAACCACCACATCTACCTGATTTTTTTTTTTTTTTTTTTGAGACAGAGTCTCACTCTGTCGCCCAGGCTGGAGTGCAGTGGCGTGATCTCGGCTCACTGCAAGCTCTGCCTCCCGGGTTCACGCCACTCTCCTGCCTCAGCCTCCCGAGTAGCTGGGACTACAGGCGCCCGCCACCGCGCCCAGCTAATTTTTTGTATTTTTAGTAGAGACGGGGTTTCACCGTGTCAGCCAGGATGGTCTCGATCTCCTGACCTCATGATCTGCCCGCCTCGGCCTCCCAAGATATTTTTTTTATAGAGCTGGGGTCTTGCTATGTTGCCCAGACTGGTCTCAAACTCCTGGCTCCAGCGATCCTCCCACCTCAGCCTCCCAAAGTGCTGGGATTGCAGGCGTGAGCCACTGCACCCGGCCCCAAAGCACTTTTGGAAGGAATTTGAGGAGCAGATGCAGTAAGTGTCTCATGCATTATTTATTTTGCTTAGGAAGCATTTAAAATAATCCCCCTGCCAGGCACAGTGGCTCCCACTTGTAATCCCAGCACTTTAGGAGGCCGAGAAGGGAGGGAGGATCCCTTGAGCCCAGAAGTTTGAGATCAGTCTGAGCAACCTCATGACACCCCATCTCTACAATAAATTAATTAAATTAAATTAAATAATTCCCCAAGGTCCTCAGAACCACATTCAGTGATACACTTCCAAATACAACACATATAACTATGTATTTCTGTTATACATATAATAAAAGATATAACAAAGTCACATACAGTTGGTGCGGTTTGATCTAAACTATTCAAAGAAAAGTGACGTCACTGGGCACGGTGGCTCATGCCTGTAATCCCAGCACTTTGGGAGGCCGAGGCAGACAGATCACCTGTGGTCACTAGTTCAAGACCAGCCTGGCCAACACGGTGAGACCCCATCTCTACTAAAAATACAAAAATTAGCCAGGCGTGGTGGTGAGCACCTGTAGTCCCAGCTCCTCAAGAGGCGGAGGCAGGAGAATCACTTGAACCCAGGAGGTGGAGGTTGCAGTGAGCTGAGATCGTGCCACTGCACTCCAGCCTGGGTGACAGAGTGAGATTCCATCTTGAAAAAAAAAAAACCAGAAAAGTGACATCCTCACAATCTGTTGCTTCATTGGTGCAACCTCACCAGAGAGTTCTGAGGCCAGTGTGGACGCGGCTGCCATTTTTCTCTATATGATAGAGATAGACAGGGAATGGATGGATGGAGGGATGGATGGATGGATAAATACATACAGGATAGATAGATAAATAGACAGGTGATAGATAATAAAGATAGATGTGGGTGATTGATAGATGATGGATAAACTGATTGACTTACAGATGATAGAGATGATAAATAGAGGAGGGATGGTTGAGTAGATGCATGGATGGATAAATACATACAAGATGGATGAATAGATGGATAGATACATAGAAGACAGATAGATGATAGAATAGATGGATGGATGGATGGATAGATAAATACATGCAGGATAGATAGATGGATGAATAGATGATAGATAGATAATAGAATAGATGGATGGATGGATGAATACATACAAGATAGATGGATGAATAGGTGGATAGATACATAGATGATAGATAGATGATAGAATAGATGGATGGATGGATAGATAAATACATGCAGGATAGATGGATGAATAGATGGATAGATACATAGATGATAGATGATAGAATAGATGGATGATGGATAGATAAATACATGCAGGATAGATGGATGAATAGATGGATAGATACATAGATGAAGATAGATGATAGAATAGATGGATGGATGGATGGACAAATACATACAGGATAGATGGATGAATAGATGGATAGATACATAGATGACAGATAGATAGATAGATAGATAGATAGATAGATAGATAGATACATAGATAGATACATAGATAGATACATAGATAGATACATAGAATGGATAAATACACACAGGATAGATAGATGGATGACTAGATGGATAGATACATAGATGACAGATAGAATAGACGATGGATGGACGGATGAGAGAGAGATAGATGATAGATAGATAGATGATAGGTGGATAAATAGATAGATAATGGATAGACAGATAGATGATTGATTGATTGATTGACAGATGATAGATAGAGTCCCTCAGTCAGTGTCTCTCAGCCTCAGCTCTGCTGACATTTGGGGCTAGAGGATTCTCTGTGGCCAAACAGACCCCAGAGTGGTGTGTGGTGTGGTGTGGTTTAGACAAACGAGGCAGATGTTTTGAAATGCCAGCTTCCCTTGGTGCTCTGTGGACCCTCCATGGGCTTGTATTTAGTCCCAAATGGAGATCACGCCTGTCCCATTGAAGTGGCCTGTTCACATCACAGCTCCCCACCCTTCAGGAGGAATCAGACGCCCACCTTCGACCCATGGTGGGTACAATGTGAACTCCGTGTGCCTTGGGCCACCTTGTGGGCTGAGGTTGACGTGCACCTGTCATCCCAGCTACTCCGGAGGCTGAGGCAGGAGAATCACTTGAACTCGGGAGGCGGAGGTTGTAGTGAGCCGAGATCGTGCCACTGTACTCCAGCCTGGGCGACACAGCGAGACTCTGTCTCAAAAAAATGAAAAAAAAAATAAATAAAATAAAATGTCTATCCTAAATGAAATTTGCTGTGAGTATGGTGGGTACAGCTTGGGAAAATGAGTAGGTGTTTGGTGAAAAGGGAGGGGGGGAGGTCTCCCCTTTCTCTCAGCTGAGTGAAATCGAAGAGGAAAAAAATCTTAAAAGAAGGGGGAGGACTTGTAGGCTTATGCTAAAGTCCTGGAGTTGTAAAAGATAAAGGAAAGGGGACAGACAGGGTGGCTCACGCCTGTCATCCCAGCACTTTGGGAGGCCGAGGCAGGTGGATCACATGAGGTCAGGAGTTCGAGACCAGCCTGGCCAACATGGTGAAACCCCATCTCTACTAAAAATGCAAAATTAGCCAGGCGTGGTGGCAGGTGCCTGTACTCCCAGCTACTCAGGAGGCTGAGGCAGGAGAATCTCTTGAACCCGGGAGGCAGAAAATGCAGTGAGCCGAGATCACGCCATTGCACTCCACCCTGGGCAACAAGAGGAAAACTGTCTCAAAAAAAAAGAGTGGGCAGGACTTCTTGTTTTTTCGGGGGGCTTCTTGTTCTTGTTGTTTTCTGTTTTGAGACAGAGTCTCGCCCTGTCGCCCAGGCTGGAGTGCAGTGGTGCAATCCTAGCTCAGTACGGCCTCGGACTCCCGGGCTCAAAGGATCCTCCTGCCTCAGCCTCCCGAGTAGCTGGGACTACAGACCACCCCCCCCCCCCATCTACACCCGGCTAATTATTTTTTTTTTTATTTTTCTAGAAACAAAGTATCACTACGTCACTCTGTTGCTCAGGCTATAGTCTCAAACTTCTGGTCTCAAGCAATCCTCCGACCTCAGCCTCCCAAAGTGGTAGGATTACAGGCATGAGCCACCACGCCTGGCCAAATGTGTGTTTTTTTGAGCCACTCTGTGAACGGCCATTTGTTACACCTGCTGAAACAGCTTCGTAAGGGTGAGGCTTGTATTTCCAGAACACTATCTTGCTTGATCCTTGTAGCAAACCTACTACGGTATAGATGCCTTAGGCATATTTACAGATGTGTTGGCTGAGTGCAGTGGCTCACCCCCCTAATCCCAGCACTTCAGGAGTCTGAGGCGGGAGGATCAGTTGAGCCCAGGAGTTCGAGGCTGCAGTGAGCTATGATGACACCACAGAGCTTCAGCCTGGGAGACATAGCGAGACCCCATCTCTATCTGTTGGCTGAGTGCAGTGGCTCACCCCCCTAATCCCAGCACTTCAGGAGGCTGAGGTGGGAGGATCAGTTGAGCTCAGGAGTTCGAGGCTGCAGTGAGCTATGATGACACCACAGAGCTTCAGCCTGGGAGACATAGCGAGACCCCATCTCTATCTGTTGGCTGAGTGCAGTGGCTCACCCCCCTAATCCCAGCACTTCAGGAGGCTGAGGCGGGAGGATCAGTTGAGCCCAGGAGTTCGAGGCTACAGTGAGCTATGATGACACCACAGAGCTTCAGCCTGGGAGACATAGCGAGACCCCATCTCTATCTGTTGGCTGAGTGCAGTGGCTCACCCCCCTAACCCCAGCACTTCAGGAGGCTGAGGTGGGAGGATCAGTTGAGCCCAGGAGTTCGAGGCTACAGTGAGCTATGATGACACCACAGAGCTTCAGCCTGGGAGACATAGCGAGACCCCATCTCTATCTGTTGGCTGAGTGCAGTGGCTCACCCCCCTAATCCCAGCACTTCAGGAGGCTGAGGTGGGAGGATCAGTTGAGCTCAGGAGTTCGAGGCTGCAGTGAGCTATGATCACACCACAGAGCTTCAGCCTGGGAGACATAGTGAGACCCCATCTCTACCAAAAAAAATCATTTAGAAAAAAACAGCCAGGCATACTGGCACACACCTGTAGTCCAGCTACTCAGGAGGCTGAGGCAGGAGTATGGCTTGAGCCCAGGAGGCTGAGGCTGCAGTGAGCTGGGATCACATCCCTGCAGTCCATCCTGAGCGACAGAGCAAGACCCTGTCTCAAAACAAAAAATGCAAGGACCCTGATCACGTCACTGCACTTCAGCCTGGGCAACAGAGAAAAGCCTCATCTGTACTAAAAATAAAAATAACGGGCCGGGCGTGGCGGCTCACACCTGTCATCCCAGCACTTTGGGAGGCCGAGGTGGGTGGATCACAAGGTCAGGAGATCGAGACCATCCTGGCCAACACGGTGAAACCCCGTCTCTACTACTAAAAATACAAAAAATTAGCCGGGCGTGGTGGCGGGCGCCTGTAGTCCCAGCTACTCTGGAGGCCGAGGCAGGAGAATGGCGTGAACCCGGGAGGCGGAGCTTGCAGTGAGCCGAGATTGCGCCACTGCACTCCAGCCTGGGCGACAGAGAGAGACTCTGTCTCGAAAATAAATTAATTAATTAATTAAAATTAAAATTAAAATTAAAATTAAATTAAATTAAAATTAAATTAAATTAAAATTAAATTAAAATTAAATTAAAATTAAATTAAATTAAATTAAAATTTAAAAAGCCAGACATCTTGTCTTGGGCCACCTGTCTGAGCTTGGAACCCAGGAGGGATACTCCCCACGGTGTACACCCGTGAAGCCCCCTCTCAACACCGATCCCTTTGCTGAATACAAAAGGCTCTTCATTTCCAGAGTATAAAGTAGATCTCTCTTGAATTTCTAGATATCCTCAGACAATAACAACCAATCATTAGAGGTGGCCCCACAGCCTTGCTCCCCAGTAGGGTGGAAGGCAGAGGCGCTCAGAGGCACCCCCAGCTCGGGGGCGAGTCACCTATGACCACAATTGCCATCATTAGTGAGCTGGGCTCAGCTCCTCAGAAGCTGGAAAGCACGCTCGCAAACACCCTTTGATCATTTCTATTTCTAGGCCTTGAGTGATTCAATAAAACATACCTCTAAATTCAGATCCTTTCTGCGATGCCCTGTTTCGACTTTGAAGTTAAATTATCTAAAAGGAGTAACTGCCTAAGTTTTCTAGGCAAACTTCTCCATACTCGCGGCTTTTTCGTGGGAACTGCACTCACTGAAAGCAAGGTAATGTTCCTGCAAAATAGTATAAAGAGGCCGGTCGGGTGCTACGGTTCGTGCCTGTAATCCCAGCACTTTGGGAGGCTGAGGTGGAAGGATTGCTTGAGCCCAGCAATTGGAGAGCACCCGGAGCAACATAGCAAAACCCCAGGTCTATAAAAAATAATTTTTTGGCCAGGAGCAGTGGCTCACACCTGTAATCCCAGCACTTTGGGAGGCTGAGGCGGGTGGATCACCTGAGGTCAGGAGTTCGAGACCAGCCTGGCCAACATGGAGAAACCCCATCTCTACTAAAAACACAAAAATTAGCTGAGCGTGGTGATGGGTGCCTGTCATCCCAGCTATTCAGGAGGCTAAGGCAGCAGAATCGCTTGAACCCAGGAGGCAGAGGTTGCACTGAGCCAAGATTATGCCATTGCACTCCAGCCTGTGCAACAGAGTAAGATTCTGTCTCAAAAAAAAAAAAAAAAAAAAAACCAGAAAGAAAATTAGCTGGGCATGGTGGCGGGCACCTGTAATCCCAGCTACTCAGGAGGCAGAGGCAGGAGAATCACTTAAACCCAGGAGGCAGAGGTTGCAGTGAGCTGAGATCACACCACTGCACTCCAGCCTGGGCGACAGAGCAAGACTCCATCTCAAAAAAAAAAAAAAAGAAAAAAGAAAAAAGAAAATTAGTCTGGCATGGTGGGCACCTGTAATCTCAGCTACTCAGGAGGCTGAGGCAGGAGAATCACTTAAACCCAGGAGGTGGAGGTTGCAGTGAGCCGAGATCTCACCATTGCACTCCAGCCTGGGCGACAGAGCAAGACTCCATCTCAAAAAAAGAAAATTAGCCTGGCATGGTGGGCACCTGTAATCTCAGCTACTTGGGAGGCTGAGGCAGGAGAATCACTTGACCTCAGGAGGCGGAGATTGCAGTGAGCTGAGATCGTGCCACTGCACTCCAGCCTGGGCAACAGAGCGAGACTCCATCTCAAAAAAAAGAAAGAAAGAAAGAAAAAAGAAAAGAAAATTAGCTGAGTGTGGTGGGGGGTGCCCGTAATCCCAGCTACTCAGGAGGCTGAGGCAGGAGAATCGCTTGAACCCAGGAGGTGGAGGTTGCACTGAGCCGAGATTACACCGTTGCACTCCAGGCTGGCTGACAGAGCGAGACTCTTTCTAAAAAAAAAAAAAAAAAAAAAAAAGCCTATTCCCATCATATACGAAATGTGTAGAACAGGCAAACCCATAGAGACAGAAGGAAGATTTTGAGTTGCCTGGGAATGGGGAGGGAAAATGGGCAGTTCTTCTCCTGGCTCTGTTTTTGAGGGATGACAATATTCTGGTATTATGTAGATGATATGCTACCACAACAAGGTGAATTCAGTAAATACCAACAAATCCTTCTGCTTGAAAGGGTTGCTGGCTGCGTTGCCTCACCTGTGTAATTGCAGCACTTTGGGAGGCCGAGGCAGGAGGATCGCTTGAGACCAGGAGTACAAGATGGGCCTGGGCAACACAGTGAGACCCTGTCTCTACCAAGAAAATAGTAATAATACAAAAATTAGCCAGGCATGGTGGGGCATGCCCACGGTCTCACCTACTCAGGAGGCTGAGGCAGGAGGATCACCTGAGCCCAGGACATTGAGGCTGCAGTGAGCTGTGATTGCACCAGTGCACCCTAGCCTGGGCAGCAGAGCGAGACCCTGTCTCAAAATAAATACATAAGTAATAAAAATAAAATGGTTGATTGCATGTTTCGTGAAACTCACCTCAATTAAAAAAAAAAAAAAACTTAAAACAGAGTTCAGAGGCCAGGCATGGTGTCTCACGCCTATAATCCCAGCACTTTAGGAGGCCGAGGCAGGTGGATCACCTGAGATCAGGAGATCGAGACCAGCCTGGCCAACACGGCAAAACCACATCTCTATTTAAAAAATAAAAAAAATTAGCCAGGCGTGGTGGCCGGTGCCTGTAGTCTCAGCTACTCGGGAGGCTGAGGCAGTAGAATCGAACCCAGGAGTCGGAGGTTGCAGTGAGCCTAGGGTGCACCACTGCACTCCAGCCTGGACGACAGAGCGAGACTCCCTGTCAAAAAAAAAAAACAAAAAACAAAAAAACAAACAAACAAAAAAACCGAAAAACCCAGAGTCCACCGTGACTCTCACAGTCAGGACTGAGCCAGGAAGAATGGGATCAGGGTGTGGTATTCCTAGCCCTCGCCAGGCCATCCCCAAGGCTGCTGTCTGCAGAAATGGAAGTCACCCCCCGTAGCGCGTGAACTCAGAGCACTTTCAGCCAACAGCGCAGAAATCGCGGAAACAAAGGGAAAAAGAAAAGCCCTTTTTGAATATTTTGAATAAACAAAGGGAAAAAGAAAAGCCCCTTTTGGATATTTTGAATACAACTTGGGGTCTCCTGCTGCCTCGGCCATGCTGTGAACATAAATAAATCAACGCGGGGGTGTGTTGCATCCATTGGGATTGTCCCAAAAGCACAGAAAGAATCAGAAGACAGTGGCCTTTCTCAAGCATTAATATTTCACCAGGCTCAGGACCTCCCTGGATTACAAATTAACAGTAATCAGGTCCCAGGAGCTCTGCCCTCTCCCCACCCAAATCCATCATCGTTTTCCTGAAAAGCGTTTTTGTTTTGTTTTCTTTTTGCTGATTTGCTGATTTCACACCACCCTATCCCATGTAAAACTCCCTTCTTTTCTGAAAATGAGATTTTTATAATATAAATCAGAAGTGCTCGGTAAAAGAGGGTGTGAGCCCCACGCTGAGTCCCTGACTCCCCCAGCTACTCCCTCTCCAAACAGAGCCATTGATGGGGAAGCTTTGCCCTTTGACGCCCTTGAGATCATCGTGCTGTCCTGAGCGTCTGTCAACCCCAAATCCGGGGGAGGGCTCCAGCTAATTACAGATAGGCCCATCAAGGGTCGGGGCCCAGGTCTTCACATCCTCCACATTAATGCCCTCTTCTGACCTCCTTCCAACTCTGACAAAATATCTTCTCTGGCTGGAAAGTTCTGGGGCTTTCTATCAGGCTGCGAAGTTTGAAGCAAATTGGACAAGCCATTTTTGACTTACGAGGCCGTGAAAAATTAATATGTTTCTGAGTTCTGCGAAAGTGTCCAAACTTTTTCTGCTCATAACTCAAAAAAAAAAAAAAAAAAAGGAGGAGAAACTCATCTTTGGGGAGTTTTCTAACTTGCCCTGCACTCAGTCAAAAGAAAAGGGTTTTATTCCGTTTGCGTTGTGTTGTTTTGCTGTTTTGTTATTTTGCAGAGTTGGAAGGTATATCACGGAGATCCTGGTGGTGGGAATATTCTATGGTAAGGGTGTTCTCCCATAATGATATTAATTATAATTTAGCAGGTGTTTGAAGAACAACGGTCAGTATACACTGAATGTCGTGTTCCCCCGACAAATTGCTATGTTGAATCCCTAACCGCTAAGGTGATGGTGTTAGGAAGTAGAGTTTTGGAAGGTGATGAGATTGTGAGGATGAAGCCTCATGAATGGGATTAGTGCCTTTATAAAAATTACAGACCCCAGGCCTGTAATCCCAGCACTTTGGGAGGCCGAGGCTGGCAGATCACAAAGTCAAGAGATCGAGACCAGCCTGGCCAACAATGGTGAAACCCTGTCTCTCCTAAAAATACAAAAATTAGCCAGGCGTGGTGGTGGACACCTGTAATCCCAGCTACTTGGGAGGCTGAGGCAGGAGAATCCCTTGAATGCGGGTGGCAGAGGTTGCAGTGAGCTGAGATCGCACCACTGCACTCCAGCCTGGCAACAGAGCAAAATTCCATCTAAAAAAGGAAAAAAAAAAAAAAAAGGAGTGGGGGACCCCAGGCCAGGCACGGTGGCTCATGCCTGTAATCCCAGCATTTTGGGAGGCCAAGGCAGGAGGATCACCTGAGGTCAGGAGTTCGAGACCAGCTTGGCCAACATGGTGAAACCCCATATGTACTAAAAATACAAGAATTAGCCAGGCTTGGTGGTGGACACCTATAATCCCAGCTACTTGGGAGGCTGAGGCGGGAGAGTCAGTTGAACCCAGGAGGCAGAGGTTGCAGCGAGCCAAGATCGTGCCATCGCACTCCAGCCTGGGGTACAAGAGCATAACTCCATCTCAAAAAAAGGGGGGACCTCAGAGAGCTCCCTCACCCCTTTCACCATATGAGGACACAGCCTGATGGCACCGTCTATGAATGAGCAAACAGGTCCCCATCAAACACAAAATCTACCACGCCTTGATCTGGGACTTTCCCCACCAAACACCAAATCTACCACGCGTTGATCTGAGACTTCCCAGCCTCTAGAGCTGTGAGCAGTAAATTCTTATTGTTTCTAAGCCATGCAGTCTATGGCATTCTGCCATATCAACACCAAGGGAGTAAGACAGCTGCCACCAGGTCTATGAGATTCTAGCTTCTATTTAGCAAAGGCTCAATGAAACCAGAAGAGAGGAAGATGTGTCCTGCTTTTCAATCCATGCCCCCTGCACTGTGAACCCAGTCACAATTCTTTCCTCTTACCCACACGTGGCCAATAGTTGGTCCTCTCTGTGGCTGTCCTGCCTCTGATTTGTGTCCACAGTGAACCCACCTCAAGGTTGCAACAAATCTCCTCTTCCTCTCCCACTGGCTGATCCTGTTGGTCATCGTGAAATGTTTCCTGAGGTTCCCAAAGCTCGCCCCACCCCAAACCGAGGGCACTTTCTTCCTGATGCCTGAGTTCCTCATGCTCCTTCCATGAACACGTGAGATGGGGAAGCTGAATCATCGTGCTGGGACTCGGAGCCTTGTCATTTTGGGGTCATTCCTGCCTCACACGTCTCAGTGGGAACCAGCGTCACCTCCCTCTTTGGCATCCTGGAGCCTCATACATTCTCTATCCCCCCCATCCTGGCATCCAGGGAGCTGGACTTTCTGCCCAGCACTTGGAACCTTGAGAGAATAAAGGAAATCAGCTGCAGGACAGAAATTCCTCATGACCACAGCAACATCTCCAGAGCCCAGAGGCAGCTTGGAGAGTCCTCCCCGACCACCTTCCTCCCTTGGGTTCTGCCCTGTTGTCTGAGTCTCCATCTTTGGGTTCCCTGCCAAGACTATAAATTCCCCTAATGTTTTTCCCATGAATTCCTTCCCTGGCTAAGCTATTGAGGTCTTCTCTGATCCTCTCATGTCCTTTTCCTTGTTCTCCTTAGACCTCGTCCACCTCCACTCCTTCTATATCCCACCCGTGTGTGGAGCATCTGCAGGGACACTCCGACTCCTAGGTTGCTTCCTCTGCAAGATCTGGGGTGATATTTTCAGCTGCCTGAATAACTCCTCCACGTGCAGCCTTGATGATTGAAGATAAGGTTATGCCACCTCCCAAAGAACAGGTCAAAGACTTGGTAGGACATTCAGATTGTCTCGTTATCTGCTGCACTTCTAATTACAAATCAGAGACCGATCCATCTTATCTGCAGGTTTAAAATGAAGCTACTTCTGCACATCACTTTGTGGTCAGACGGAGGGGAACTCTCCACTTTTAAATTCAAAGTTGAATTGAATGAACGAATGAATGAATGAATGAATGAGTACTTGATGGAGACTTTCTCACCTCCCTGGCTGAGAAAAACTCCAACATCCACTCCAAACATGCAAGCAACTAAGTAAATAAGTACATTTCTGGTGGGGCTATCTGTTTGCTCTCCAAAGAAAGCAAACTCAGCCGAGCATGGTGGCTCATGCCTGTCATCTCAGCATTTTGGGAGGCCAAGGCGGGAGGATCACCTGAGGTCAGGGGTTCAAGACCAGCCTGGCCAACATGGTAAAAACCCGTCTCTACTAAAAATACAAAAATCAGCCGGGTGTGGTGGCAGACACCTGTAGTCCCAGCTATTCAGGAGGCTGAGGCAGGAGAATCACTTGAACCCAGAAGGCAGAGGTTGCAGTGTGGTGTGGTGGCGGGTGTCTGTAATCCCAGCTACTTGGGAGACTGAGGCAGGAGAATCGCTTGAACCCCAGAGGTGGAGGTTGCAGTGAGCCGAGATTGCGCCATTGCACGCCAGCCTGAGCGACAAGGGTGAAACTCTATCTGAAAAATAAAATAAAATAAAATGGAAAGCAAACTCTCCCTTCTCTGCATGGAAATAAACTTATCTTCTCCTTTTTGTTGCTTCTGAAAAATGAGACAAAATGAAGAGAAGAGAATGATATATTGTGATGTGAAAACACACACACACACATACACAAATGTCTCTCTTTGCTCTGCACCAATTACTAAATGAAAGCCAGTTTAGTGAATGTTTAAACTTCTCCACCCTAGAGGTTGAGCTCTCTGGGTATAGAAACCTCTCACTATGTTTCAGCTCCTCTGTCTCAAAAAAAACCCAAAAGATAGATGGATAGATAGATGATAGATGGATGGATGGATTAGATGGATGGATGGATAGACAGATAGATAGATAGACAGACAAACAGACAGACAGACAGACAGACAGACAGATAGATAGAATTGCCGGGCACGGTGGCTCATGCCTATAATCCCAGCACTTGGGCAGGTTGACGCGGGTGGATCACGAGGTCAGGAGATTGAGACCATCCTGGCCAACATGGTGAAACCCCGTCTCTACTAAAAATATAAAAATCAGCCAGGTGTGGTGGCAGGTGCCTGTAGTCCCAGCTACTCAGGAGGCTGAGGCAGGAGAATCACTTGAACCCAGAAGGCAGAGGTTGCAGTGAGCCAAGATCACACCACTGCACTCCAGCCTGGGCGACAGAGTGAGACTCAGTCTCAAAAAGAAAGAAAGAAAGAAAGAAAATCTACAGCAAAGTACCACAAACCACAGGGCTTAAACAACAGACATTGATTTCTCACACACATGAAGACTGGAGGTCCAAGATCAAAGTAGCAACATCTCAGCTCCTGGTGAGGACTCCCTTCCTGGCTTGCAGACGGCAACCTTCTTGCTGTGTCATTCCATGGTGCGGGGTGGAGAGAAAGAGACAGAGAGAGAGACAGAGAGAGAGGAAGCTCTGGTGTCCCTTTTATGGGGATACTAATCCCATTCGTGAGACTCTACCATCACGACCTCCTCACCTCCCAAAGACCCCCCACTAGTAACACTCTGACCTTGGGGTTCAGGGTTTCAACGTAGGACTTGGCAGGACAAAGCATTCATTCGGTCTGCAGAAAAAGATCCACAAAGCCCCTTTGGAACCTGGACTGGGACACAGCCGTGCATCTGGGGAGGCTCCACCTCCCAGGTTCAAGCGATTCTCCTGCCTCAGCCTCCCAAGTAGGTGGGACTACAGGTGCCCGCCACCATACCCCGCTAATTTTTTGTATTCTTAGTAGAGATGGAGTTTTACCACGTTGGCCAAGATGGTCTCGATCTCCTGACCTCATGATCCACTCACCTCGGCCTCCCAAAGTGCTGGGATGCCAGGCGTGAGCCACCGCGCCCGGCCAACCACAGATTTTTTCCAAAGACTGAAACCAACAAACAAAAAAAATCACCAAAATTCACAAAAGTATGTCTGTTACAACTTCACACTCACCTTTCATACTTTTCATTTTCATTATAAAACATTGACGAGTCGCTTTTTCTGCCTCCAACAAGCAGTAGAAACACAACAAAATACCACGAAAAGTCCACATGCGTCTACTATGAAAGCAGGAACATCTAACAACCTAAGGGCCCCTTTGTACACGAAAAAAGGCAAAAATTAACATTTCACGCTAGACCAGGACAGCACAAAGGGAATATGGCCTGGGGCCTTCATCTCTTCATCCTCACGAATTACCATGTGTGGTTGGAGACATATGTGTGGTTTGTCTGCCTCACGTGGGTGTCTGTAAAGAAACGTCTGTCCCTGCGTCCAGGGCCCCTTTGAGCCTCACGCCTCTCCCCCCTGCACAGGTAGCTCCACGGAGCCTTGTGGAATCAGCCGAGGCCGGACGTGTGGTTTATGAGGCCTCCAGGGCCCTCAGGGTCGGCCTGCAGCCTGGGCTGGACGATCGCTGAGTAACATTTGCAGCAGCAGCAGCAGCCTGAGGAAGGGGTCAATGTTTGCCACGCAGATGTGTATGTCTGTGTGTGGGTGTGTGTGTGTACAGGTGTGCGTGCATGGGCCTGTGTATGTGTGTGTCTGTGCAGGTGTGTATGAATGTCTGTGTGTATATGTCTGTGTGTGGGTGTGAATGTATGTGTACAAGCGTGTGTGTGCACCTGTGTGTGCGTGGGTGTGTATCTGTGTGTGTATGAATGTGTGTGTGTACAGATGTGTATGTCTGTGTGTAGGTGTGAATGTATGTGTACAGGCGTGTATGTGCACCTGTGTGGGGGGGGTGTGTCTGTGTGTGTGTGTGTACAGGTGTGTATGTCTGTGTGTAGGTGTGAATGTATGTGTACAGGCATGTGTGTGCACCTGTGTGTGGGGGGTGTGTCTGTGTGTGCATGTGAATGTATGTGTACAGGTGTGTGTGTGCATGTGCCTCTGTGTGTGTGTGTGCAGGTGTGTCTGTATATGTCTGTGGGTGTGAACGTGTACAGGCGTGTGTACCCGTGTGTGTGTGCATGTGTGTATGAATGTGTGTGTACAGGTGTGTGTCTGTGTGTAGGTGTGAATGTATGTGTACAGGCGTGTGTGTGCACCTGTGTGTGTGGGGGGCTGTGTCTGTGTGTGCATGTGAATGTATGTGTACAGGTGTGTGTGTGCATGTGCCTCTGTGTGTGTGTGTGCAGGTGTGTCTGTGTATATGTCTGTGGGTGTGAACGTGTACAGGCGTGTGTACCCGTGTGTGTGTGCGTGTATGAATGTGTGTGTACAGGTGTGTATGTCTGTGTGTGGGTGTGAATGGATGTGTACAGGCGTGTGTGTGCACCTGTGTTCAGGTGTATATGAATGTGTGTGTCCTGGTGTGTACGTGTGGGGTTGTGAATGTGTGTGTACAGGAGTGTGTGCGCCTGTGTGTGGTGCAGGTGTGTATGAATGTGTGTGTGGGTGCGTATGTCTGTGTGTGGGTGTGAATGTATGTGTATAGGAGTGTGTGTACGTGTGTGTGTGTGCAGGTGTGTATGAATGTATGTCTGTGTGTTGGTGTGAATGTGTGTGTACAGATGTGTGTGTAGGTGCGTACGAATGCATATGTGTGTCTGGGTGTGAATGTATGTGTACAGGCATCTGTGTGCCTGTGTGTGTGTGGGTGTGTATGTCTGTCTCTGTGTGCACAGGCCAGGGAAGCTCACACACAAACAGCTGTCTTCTTTGATTCATCTCTGCCCCCACCCTGGTGCGTTGTGCAGAGTTCATTGCACCCCCAAAATACTCAGTGCCCCGGCGTGAACCCTGAGTGGCCCAGCCTGGGCAGGTGCATGTCTCCAACCCGCCGTGTGGAACCCGCCACACTCCTGAAGGAAACGGTCTTCCCAGCTGAGCAGGCTTGAACCTGCTGCCCTAGAGTCCTGGGTCTTCCTATTGGGCTCCTTTCCAGGGTACCTCCTGGGGTCTCTGCACCCTCCTCCAACACCAGCTCTGGGGTCTGTGTGAAGGTCATAAAAACACCAACCCTCCCAGCACTTTGGGAGGCCGAGGTGGGTGGATCACCTGAGGTCAGGAGTTCGAGACCAGCCTGGCCAACACGGTGAAACCCCGTCTCTACTACAAATACAAAATTAGCCCGGTGCGGTGGCAGGTGCTTGTAATCCCAGCTATTCGGGAGGCTGAGGCAGGAGAATGACTTGGATCCAGGAGGCGGAGGTTGCAGTGAGCTGAGATCACGCCACTGCACTCCAGCCTGGGCAACAGAGTGAGACTCTGTCTCAAAAAAACAAAACAAATCAAAAACGCCAGCCCACCCAGGCAATGCCTGTTGCGCACCCAGGACTCTGCATTCCAGGCACCAGAGGCAGGAAGCTTGACCGAGCTGGCCAGGAGAGAAGCAAAGCTGCCCGTGTCGACCTGTCCTTCACTGCGGGAATGCAGGTGCTCAGGTACGCCACCGTTTGTCCCCAGCTTCCTGGCCAGCCGCGGGAACCCCCTGCTGCTCCCTTTCTTGGGGACAGTGATGGGGACCGGGTGCTTTTGCTCCCCTGAGACTGTGACTGTGTTTTGAAGCTGCCGCCAGGATGCCAGCGGCTCCGTCCCAGCAAACAGGCCACATAGCCGGGCGCGGTGGCTCACGCCTGTCATCCCAGCACTTTGGGAGGCCGAGGCGGGCTGATCCGGAGGTCAGGAGTTCGAGACCAGCCTGGCCAACATGGTGAAACCCCGTCTCTACTAAAAATACAAAAAATTAGCTGGGCGTGGCGGCGGGCGCCTGTAGTCCCAGCTACTCGGGAGGCTGAGGCAGGAGAATGGCTTGAACCCGGGAGGTGGAGGTTGCAGTGAGCCGAGATCACACCCCTGCACTCCAGCCTGGGCAACAGAGCGAGACTCCATCTCAAAAACTAAAAATAAAAATAAAAAAAACAGGCCACATGTGTGCACAGTGAGGCTCTCCAAGCCCATCGCTGTCCCAGGAAATGTTAACAGCTCCCCGAGCTCTGCTCCTCATCCAGGACCCCAGACCGACTTCTCCTCGACAGCCCTGGGACAGACACGACCGCGGCCTCCTCCTCCCCCTCCTCCCCTCTCCGCCTCTTCGGCAGAGGCCCCCACGTCCGCACGATCGGGAACAAACATCCTTTCTGATTCAGCATCACGTTACCTGCCAGTCCTGTGGCCTTTCCTCATCTGGTTGCACGTACCTCATATGCTTTGTGGTTAAATTATGCATTAAGGTCAATGTCAAAACACAGCAGCCCCGTAACCTGCAGGGAACTGGCTTTTACTCGTGATCACGGTGAAACGGGGGCCGCCTGTCAGCCAGCCGGGGTGGGCGCCCAGCGTGGGGGGCCCCCGTGCCGTGGCGTTGTCTACAAAGGCGGCCCGTCGTCTCCCAGGACGCACCCTTGATGGATTTACCCAGACAACGCGCCTCTCTTGAAAGGCGTCTGCCCTGCCTCTTCCATCTGAAACCTGTCAGCCTCACCTATAGACTCACGTCGGAAATCAAACAGCAGAGGCTGCGCGTGCCTGGGACGCTCCACGTGTCATGTCCTGACTTGTAGTTTCAGATCTTCTAAAGGAAAACGGTGTCAGAAGAAGGAAGGCCGGGAGGAGTGTGCTGTTCCGTGTTTGCTTTATCTTTTTTTACCCCTTAAAAAAAATAAAAATAAAAAAAAAATAAAAAGTTGCCGCATATTCCGGAAGCCGCCGTGGGCCTCGTGGTAGATGAAGCACGTCGGGGTGTTGAAGGAGGCGGCTCTGGGAGTGGGTGGGGGGTGGCGGGGGGTGGCGGGCCCCGGGGAGCTGCGGGAACCTCCTGGAAACTGCAGGAATTTGTGCAGGACGTATATTGATTGTGACTCTTGGGGGTTTTTCTTTCCTTTCTTTGGTTTCATTTCCTCCTTCCCTCCCTCCCTTCCTTCCTTCCCTGTCTCTGTCTCTGTCTGTGTCTCTGTCTCTCTGTCTCTCTGTTTCTCTGTCTCTGCCTCTCTCTGTGTCTCTCTGTCTCTCCATCTCTCTGTCTGTCTCTCTCTGTGTCTGTCTCTGTCTCTCTGTGTGTATCTGTCTCTCTGTCTCTGTCTCTCCATCTTTGTCTCTCTGTCTCTCTCTGTGTCTCTGTCTCTCTCTGTGTCTCTGTCTCTCTCCATCTCCATCTGTCTCTCTCCGTCTGCTGTCTCTGTGTCTCTGTCTCTCTGTGTGTATCTCTCTGTCTCTCTCTGTCTCTCTGTCTTTGTCTCTCTCTGTGTCTCTACGTCTCTCTGTATCTGTATCTCTCTGTCCCTCTCTGTCTCTCTCTGTCTCTCCATCTTTGTATCTCTCCCTCTGTCTCTGCCTCTCTGTCTTTCTGTCTCTGTCTCTGCCTCTCTCTGTGTCTCTCTGTCTCTCCATCTCTCTGTCTGTCTCTCTCTGTGTCTCTCTGTCTCTGTCTCTCTGTGTGTCTCTGTCTCTCTGTCTCTGTCTCTCCATCTTTGTCTCTCTGTCTCTCTCTGTGTCTGTCTCTCTCTGTGTCTCTGTCTCTCTCCATCTCCATCTCTCTCTCTCTCCGTCTGCTGTCTCTGTCTCTGTCTCTCTGTGTGTATCTCTCTGTCTCTCTCTGTCTCTCCGTCTTTGTCTCTCTCTGTGTCTCTACGTCTCTCTCTGTATCTGTATCTCTCTGTCCCTCTCTGTCTCTCTCTGTCTCTCCATCTTTGTATCTCTCCGTCTGTCTCTGCCTCTCTTTCTTTCTCTGTCTCTGCCTCTCTCTGTGTCTCTTTCTCTGTCTCTCCATCTCTCTTTGTCTCTCTGCGTCTGTCTCTCTTTCTCTCTCTCTATCTCTCTTTCTCTTTGTCTCTGTCTCTCTGCCTCTCTCTTTGTCTCTGTCTCTGTGTCTCTCTCTCTTTCTCTCTGAGCCAGTTCATCCTCCCCTGGTGCCTAGTTTTTAGGGGATTTTGAGCGTAATAAAAACTGATTCCTGGCCGGGCGCAGTGGCTCACACCTGTCATCCCAGCACTCTGGGAGGCTGAGGCAGGCGGATCCCCTGAGCTCATGAGTTCGAGACCAGCCTGACCAACATGGTGAAACCCCATCTCTACTAAAAATACAAAATCAGCCGGGCGTGCTGGCAGGTGCCTGTCATCCCAGCTACTCGGGAGGCTGAAGCAGGAGAATGGCTTGAACCCGGGAGGCGGAGGTTGCAGAGAGCCGAGATCACGCCCCTGCACTCCAGCCTGGGTGACAGAGCGAGACTCTATCTCCAAAAACAAAAAAGAGAGAGAGAGAGAGAGAGAGAGACAGGGTGTTGCCCTGTCACCCAGGCTGGAGTGCAGTGGCGCAATCACAGCTCACCGCCGCGTCCACCTCCCGGCCTCACACCATCCTGCGGTCTGGACGGGTCCCCGGGACACCCCTGTCTTTTCCCTCAGCTCTGCATTTTCCCAGTGAATTCTCCTCTTTCCTGGGGCCTCACCCACACCCGGGACCTGGGGCCACCGCTCCTGCCCATCCCGGCGCCGGGCACCCATGGCCGGCCGTGAGTTCTGGTCCTTCACTGGCAAGGAGGCACCTCCCAGGACCGTATACAAACCTGTAGGTACAAATGTCATCCGTCCTCAGCTCGGGGAGACACAGGTGCCTCTCACGGCGCTGACAGCCCCGGCACGTGTCGTGGGCTGGGTCAAGAATAGAAGCTCCTTCCCCTACTGAGAATGACCGAGAATCAGTGGTGTTTTATCCTGAATTTGATATTCAGAGTCGAATGAACTGTTTTTTTTTTTTTTTCTTCCCCCAGCTCAACTCTCATCTATTTATCTTAAGGCAGACGATCGCTGTGATTTTATAAGAAAGCGCTCCCAATCAAAGCGTACCTATGCGGAGGTAATTAATACAAAGATTGCTGAATTAAAGATGTGAGTCTCCGCTCTCGGGCGAGGGGCCCAGGGACCCCGTCTCCCGGGCCCAAATTATGCCAGAGACAGACCAATTAACACCCCGCGTCATCCTCTTTTATGTTAACTTCAATGACGGCTTCTCACCATTTTTAAAGTTATTTTCTTCTTCGCCATCTCTGCACATCAAAGAGCCAGGCCGGAGAGGCTCCCGCAGGTGAGATCGGTGCCAGGAGACCCCCCGGGAGGGGACGACCGCCGCCCCAGGAACCCCCACACGGATCACTGTAGGGTCCGCCTCGGGGAGCGAAGACCCTCAGGGAAAGGGCCCTTCTGAGGGGAAATCCTGGTCAGCTTATTATTACTATTATTATTATTATTATTATTATTATTATTATACTTTAAGTTTTAGGGTACATGTGGACAATGTGCAGGTTTGTTACATACGTATACATGTGCCATGTTGGTGTAGCATTAGGTATATCTCCTAACGCTATTCCTCCCCCTTCCCCCCACCCCACAACAGTCCCCGGTGTGTGATGTTCCCCTTCCTGTGTCCAAGTGTTCTCATGGTTCAATTCCCACCTATGAGTGAGAATATGTTTGGTTTTTAGTCCTTGCGATAGTTTACTGAGAATGATGATTTCCAATTCCATCCACGTCCCTACAAAGGACATGAACTCATCCTTTTTCATGGCTGCATAGTATTCCATGGTGTATATGTGCCACATTTTCTTCATCCAGTCTATCGTTGTTGGACATTTGGGTTGGTTCCAAGTCTTTGCTATTGTGGACAGTGCCGCAATAAACATACGTGTGCATGTGTCTTTATAGCAGCATGATTTATAGTCCTTTGGGTATATACCCAGCAATGGGATGGCTGGGTCAAATGGTATTTCTAGTTCTAGATCCCTGAGGAATCGCCACACTGACTTCCACAATGGTTGAACTAGTTGACAGTCCCACCAACAGTGTAAAAGTGTTCCTACTTCTCCACATCCTCTCCAGCACCTGTTGTTTCCTGGGGGAGAGGGGAGGGACAGCATTAGGAGACATACCCAATGTAAATGACGAGTTAATGGGTGCAGCACACCAGCATGGCACATGTATACGTATGTAACTAACCTGCGCTTTGTGCACATGTACCCTCGAACTTAAAGTATAATAATAAAAAAGTAAAAAAAAAAAAATGCCATTGACAAACCCAACTCCCATCGCGGCTGCCTCCCAACCTCAAAACGGCCGTCTCAAAGCACAAAATGAAACCGCCTCTGCCGTCGCCTCTGTCCTCCTCACCAATCGCCAGGTGGGAGAGGTTTCCACGGGGTCCGTCTCCTCGTCTCTTGAAGTCCCTTCACGCAGCTCGGCCGCCAAAAGCTCCCGAGTTTCAGCGTCTTGACCGGTGAACGGGAGAAAACAGAACGGCCCAAGGTGTCATCCCAGGTCGGCGGGCAGCTGGTGACATTTCGGCTCAAGCACGCTGAGTAAGACTCACCGCCACACCAGGTCACAGAAAGTGGAAACGAAGCCCGGGCTGGGCAGTGTACGCTGCTGCTACAATGGAAGAATGGAAGCTTCCTTCCTTCCTTCCTTCCCTCCCTCCTTCCTTCCTTTCGTCCTTCCCTCCCTCCTTCCCCTTCCTTCCTTCGTTCCATCACTCCTCCCTTCCTTTCTTCCTTTGTTCATTGCCTCCTTCTTCCTTCTTCATTGCCTTTGCAGCAATGAAGGGATCATCCCTTGCCAGGTGCCAGCCTCCCATATAGATTCTCTCCTTCCTTCTGAGCCCCTGTTGGTGTTTGACTAATCCATGGGTCCATGCCCATGCCAAGATCCCAAAGACAGGTGCCAGCGTGCAAGGGTCATAATCAAGCCACTTAAAGAGCTGTTGGGCCGGGCGCAGTGGCTGACGCCTGTCATCCCAGCACTTTGGGAGGCCGAGGCAGGCGGATCACGAGGTCAGGAGATCGAGACCATCCTGGCTAACACGGTGAAACCCGGTCTCTACTAAAAATACAAAAAAGTATCCGGGCGTGGTGGCGGGCACCTGTAGTCCCAGCTACTCGGGAGGCTGAGGCAGGAGAATGGTGTGAACTCGGGAGGCGGAGCTTGCAGTGAGCCGAGATGGCACCACCGCACTCCAGCCTGGGCGACAAGAGCACGACTTTGTCTCAAAAAAAAAAAAAAAAAAAAAAAAAAACAAAAAAAAAACAAGATTTCAGAGTGACCTGCTTGGAGAAGCCGGTATGAGCTCATGGGCAACTGTGTCTCTAAGTGCGGCCGTCCTCTTAATTCCTTAGTGCAGTGTGGTTCTCAGCCAGGGGACATCCTGCCCCCTCCCCGGACACACTCAGCAATATCAGGGGACATGTCTGCATGTCACAACATGGGGGTGAACTGGCATCTGCTGGGTGGAGCCCAGGGACGCTCCTCAGCACCCTACAGCGCCCAGGACGGCCCCACCACAGAGTCAACACCCTACAGCTCCCAGGACGGCCTCATCACAGAGACTCAACACCCTACAGCGCCCAGGACGGCCCCACCACAGAGTCAACACCCTACAGCTCCCAGGACGGCCTCATCACAGAGACTCAGCACCCTACAGCGCCCAGGACGGCCCCACCACAGAGTCAACACCCTACAGCTCCCAGGACGGTCTCATCACAGAGACTCAGCACCCTACAGCGCCCAGGATGGCCCCACCACAGAGTCAACACCCTACAGCTCCCAGGACGGTCTCATCACAGAGACTCAGCACCCTACAGCGCCCAGGACGGCCCCACCACAGAGTCAACACCCTACAGCTCCCAGGACGGCCTCATCACAGACACTCAACACCCTACAGGGCCCAGGACGGCCTCATCACAGAGACTCAGACTCAACACCCTACAGTGCCCAGGACGGCCTCATCACAGAGACTCAGCACCCTACAGTGTCCAGGACGGCCTCATCACAGAGACTTAACACCCTACAGGGCCCAGGACGGCCTCATCACAGAGACTCAGACTCAGCACCCTACAGTGTCCAGGACGGCCTCATCACAGAGACTCAGCATCCTACAGGGCCCAGGACGGCCTCATCACAGAGACTCAGACTCAACACCCTACAGAGCCCAGGACGGCTTCATCACAGAGACTCAGTACCCTACAGTACCCAGGACGGCCTCATCAAGAGAGTTAGCACCCTGCAGCACCCAGGGTGGCCCCAAGACAGAGAGTCCTCCAGTCCCAAACATCAGCAGTGCCAGAGCTGAGAAAGCTGCCTGGGCATGAGAGATTCTTTATCTATCATCTATCAATTATTGATTAATCAATTATCTATCTATTAATCAGCTATCCATTACTATCGGTCAATTATCTGACAACCAATCATCTGTCAATCATGCATCTATATCAATTACCTATCAACCAATCACTGATCAGTCATACATCTATATAAATTATCAATCATCTGTCAATCAATTCCCTATCAATCATGCATCTGTATCGCTTATGTATCAATTGTCTGTCAATAAATCATCTATCAATCATGCATCTATACCAATTATCTGTCAATTATCAACCATCTATTAATCATGCATCTATATCAATTATCAATCATCTGTCAACCAATCATCAATCATACATTTCTATTAATGTCTATCAATTATCTGTCAATCACCTATTAATCATGTGTCTATATCAATTATCTGTCAACCAATCATCTATCAATCATACATTTATATTAATGCCTATCAATTATCTGTCAATCACCTATTAATCATGCATCTATATCAATTATCTATCATCTGTCAACCAATCAATCATACATTTATATTAATGTCTATCATCTGTCAATCACCTATTAATCATGCATCTATATCAATATCTATCCATCAACTATCTGTCAACCAATCACCTATCAATCATACATGTATGAATCAACTGTGTATCCTATGGTTTGAATCAATGTGTCCTCCGAGTGAGAACATGTCCCCGACACCCCACAGGGCACAGGACGCCCCACGACGGAGAATCCTCCAGCCCCCGATGTCGGCAGATGTGAGGCTGAGAAACCAGCCTTCGTGAGAAGTCACCTGCCTGATCCCAAAATCCCTGCCGACAGCCACCTTCTCACCCTGGCGACAGAGGAATAGGACTTCGTGGCCACAACCCAGGACCCCACGACTGGGCATTAAACCGGCAGGCGAGGAGACACACGTGTGTTTAACACGAGGCTTTTCTTGAGGAGTCTCGGGCTCGTCCTGGACGTCAGCCGTGCGGGTCCCCTGTGAGATGAGCTATTTTCAGCTGAGACTCCCCAGGAAGGGGGCAGTGACCCCCTGCCTGGTCCAGGGTTCCCAGGGCCAGGCTGGAGGCTGGATTCTTTCCCAGGACCCCCCGAGTTTCAGGGGGAGAGACCCTCTCCTGCGTCCCCAGCCTCATACACACGAGCCCTTTTTTGTTTGTTTGAGATGGAGTCTCGCTCTGTCGCCCAGGCTGGAGTGCAGTGGTGCGATCTCAGCTCACTGCAACCTCCGCCTCCCGGGTTCATGCCATTCTCCTGCCTCAGCCTCCCGAGCAGCTGGGACTACAGGTGCCCGCCACCACACCCGGCTAATTTTTTTCTTGTATTTTTAGTAGAGACGGGGTTTCACCATGTTAGCCAGGCTGGTCTTGATCTCCTGACCTCAAGTGATCCACCCACCTCGGCCTCCCCAAGTGCTGGGATGACAGGCGTGAGCCACCGCGCCCGGCCAACAGGTGAGACATCTTTATGTGCACAGTTCCGGGGTAACAAGCACGCTCACACTTTTCTGCAACCATCCCCGTGATTTGTCTCCAAAATTCCACTTCTAAACCCGAAACTGCGACCCCCCCCTTCAACGACAGCTCCATTCGCCCTCCTCAGCCCCCGGCACCCACCGTTATACTTTCTGTCTCTGTGACTCTGGTGACTCGAGGGACCTCCTCGAAGTGGAATCACACAGGACTTGTCTTTCTGTGTCTGGCTGATTGGTCAATATTGTCAAGCTTCTTCCACATGGTAGCAGGTGTCAGAATAGCCTCCCTTGTTAAGGAGTCTCGCTCTGTTGCAGGCTGGAGTGCGATGGGGCAATCTCGTCTCACTGCAACCTCCGTGTCCCAGGTTCAAGCAATTCTCCTGCCTCAGCCTCCTGAGTAGCTGGGATTACAGGCACCTGCCACCACTCCCAGCTAATTTCTTTTGTATTTTAGTAGAGACGGGGTTTCAACATGTTGGCCAGGCTGGTCTCGAACTCCTGAGCTCAGGCAATCTGTCCGCCTCAGCCTCCCAAAGTGCTGGGATGACAGGCGTGAGCCACTGTGTCCAGCCTTTTTTTCTTTTTTTGAGATGGAGTTTCACTCTCGTTGCCCAGGCTGGAGTGCAATGGTGCGATCTCAGCTCACTGCAACCTCCACCTCCCAGGTTCAAGCAATTCTCCTGCCTCAACCTCCTGAGTAGCTGGAACTACAGGCACCTGCCACCACTCCCAGCCAATTTCTTTCGTATTTTAGTAGAGACGGGGTTTCGCCATGTTGCCCAGGCTGGTCTCGAACTCCTGACTTCTGGTGATCCACCCGCCTCGGCCTCCCAGAGTGCTGGGATGACAGGCGTGAGTCACTGCGTCCGGCCACTTCTTACATGATTTCTGCAAAACCCTCAGCAATAAAAAATAGGCCAGGCACAGTGGCTCACGCCCATCATTGCAGGACCCTGGATGGCCGAGGCAGGAGGATCGCTTGAGGTTAACAGTTCAAGACCAGCCTGGACAACACAGTGAGGCCCCATCTCTACAAAAACTGTAAAAATCGGCCCAGCGTGGTGGCGGGCACCTGTGGTCCCAGCTCCTCCGGAGGCTGAGGCAGGAGAATCGCTCGAGCCCAGGAGGTGGAGGCTGCGGTGAGCCGACATCACACCCAGACTCCAGCCTGGGTGACAGAGCGAGACCCTGATTTGAACAGGCTCTGAGGTTCTATGACTGGACAACAGCCTCGGGTCCCGGCCGCCACCATCCCAAGGGCCCCCCTCTCTGTCCTGGGCCGTTTTTGCAGCTCGACGAGTCAGGGTGACGCTTTTCCATGGATCTAAGTTCATGTGAGACAGCTGTAAACAAATGCTGGAGGGGTGACCTCGAGGGGTGCCTGTTTCCGTCCCTGCCTCACAGATGGGGAAACTGGGGTGCAAAGATGGTGAGACACGCCCCCCTCAACGAGGCCACAGAGCTGGCAGGAGGCTCAGCCAGGACACGGTGCAGATGCCAGGCTGTCCAGGAAGAAAGGAAGGAAGAGAGGCAGGGAGGGAGGAAAGGAAGGAGGGAGGAAAGGAGGGACGGAGGAAAGGAAGGAGGGAGGAAAGGAAGGGAGGGAGGAAACAGGCTGCAGTGAGCCGAGATCACACCCAGACTCCAGCCTGGGTGACAGACCCTGATTGGAAACTGTCCAAACGCTGAGCCGTCTAGACGTCGAGCCGAGGCCACTCAGGTCAGCAGCAGCACATGCTGTGTGCCCACGAAGACGATTATTCTAAGGGAGAATCTCAGGGAGGATGTTTGTGGACTTTTGTAGCCACTTAAACAATTTCTACAAAAGAAATAATAAAATAAAATAGGCCCGGTGCGGTGGCTCACACCCGTCATCCCGGCACGTTGGGAGGCTGAGGTGCTGGACGGCTTGATCCCAGGAGTTCAAGACCAGCCCAGGCAACATGGAGAAACCCCGTCTCTACAAAAAATACAAAAAAATACAAAAAAATGAGTTGGGCGTGGTGGCAGGTGCCTCTGGTCCCGGCTACTCGGGAGGCTGAGGCGGGAGGATCACTTGAGGCCACAGTAGCCGGAGGCTGCTCTGAGCCGAGATCATTCCCGCCGTGCTCCAGCCCCCGGATGACAGAATGAGACCCTGTCTAGAAAAGCAAACCACAAAAAAAATAAACTTTTTGAGGAAAACCCCAACAGACCTCCAGAGCCCGTGTGAGGAGGGGTGTCTGCAGGCAAAGCCGGGAATGGGAGTCTTTTGCCCAAGAGGCCCTGGCGGCCGCCTGCTGCGTCTACAGACACGGAAATGTGTCCTTGGCCTTTTCTGCACAGCTTGGGACCCGGGTCCGAGAAGCGGCTTCCTCCCTCGGAATCTTGCAAGTGTGGGAGGGAACGGGGCGGCTGAGGAGATGACGGTGCAAAGTGAAACGCGGCTGATTTTCCTCTCCTGGGCTAGACCATTGCTCACTCCCGACAGCTTCTGTTCTGTGACGGGAGCGTCAGAAACACAGTCGAGCAAAGGTTTCACGACGTCAGTTCCGAAGTAGCCGGTTACGGGGCCTGAACGGCACGGGGTTGGCAGCCGGGGGAGGGATGGGGCTTGAACCCGGTTTGGGATGAATGTAAAGACCTGAGCCCCGGCCCACGAGGCGGGAAGGCGGTCCCGGGGTTCGCAGCCCGGGGACCCACAAGGCTGAAGGCAGTGACGTGTTTCAAAACTCAGCAAAGGGTCCGACAACGGTCCACCGTTTCCGTAGCTGGCACTGCCATCCTGTGGCCGAAGAGAAAATATGTCATGGAAAACGCGGGGCCGGGGCGGCCGTCCTGTCTCTGGGGCGTCCGTGCTGTCTCTGGGGTGTCCGTCCTGTCTCTGGGGCGTCCGTCCTGTCTCTGGGGCGCCCGTCCTGTCTCTGGGGCGTCCGTCCTGTCTCTGGGGCGTCCGTGCTGTCTCTGGGGCGTCCGTCCTGTCTCTGGGGCGTCCGTGCTGTCTCTGGGGCCTCCATCCTGTCTCTGGGGCGTCCGTCCTGTCTCTGGGGCGTCCGTGCTGTCTCTGGGGTGTCCGTCCTGTCTCTGGGGCGTCCGTCCTGTCTCTGGGGCGTCCGTGCTGTCTCTGGGGCCTCCGTCCTGTCTCTGGGGCATCCGTGCTGTCTCTGGGGTCTCCGTCCTGTCTCTGGGGCGTCCGTCCTGTCTCTGGGGTCTCTGTGCTGTCTCTGGGGGCGTCCGTCCTGTCTCTGGGGCATCAGTCCTGTCTCTGGGGCGTCCGTCCTGTCTCTGGGGTCTCCGTGCTGTCTCTGGGGGCGTCCGTCCTGTCTCTGGGGCATCAGTCCTGTCTCTGGGGTGTCCGTCCTGTCTCTGGGGGTGTCCGTGCTGTCTCTGGGGTCTCCGTGCTGTCTCTGGGGCGTCCGTCCTGTCTCTGGGGCGTCCGTCCTGTCTCTGGGGTGTCCGTCCTGTCACCCGTGTGCCTTTCATGTCACTGGAGTGGCCGTCCTGATTCCAGATTCTGATCCCGGCACAGGGAGCATAACCTTGAGCCTGTCTGGGAGGGAAGGAGCCCAGCCCTGCCATAGTTGTACATTGCTTGCATGTGAGTCACGACTGTGGAAACTCCGAGATGGACCAGACAGTCTGTGTTTAGGGAACCATTGCTTTTCATGAGGGACGTGTGCGATCAATATTTTTAAGAGATATTCACTGAAGTACTATCAGCATGAAAATCATTTTCTAATGGGTTAAATATACATCTAGATCATATATATCTCTATATGCACAAATACCTCCACACCTGTATAAATGCATATATACATACAAGGGATGTGTCTGTGTGTCTGTGTGTGTGTGTGGAGTTAGAGCTAGAAAAGAGATATTCACTGAAATATTAGCAATGGAAATCATGTTCTAATGGCTTAAATATACGTATATATCATATATATCTATATATGCACAAACACCTCCACACCTGTATAAATGCGTATATACATACAAGCTGTGTGTGTGTGTGTGTGTGTGTGTGTGTGTGTGGAGAGAGAGAGAGTGAGAAGGAGAGACAGAGGCAATTTGGTTGAGAATTATGTCCCCCCCAAAAGACGTCTTGGCCAGACGCGGTGGCTCACACCTCTAATCCCAGCACTTTGGGAGACCAGAGCGAGAGGAGGCCTTGAGCCCAGGAGTTCAACACCAGCCTGGGCAACGTAGCAAAGACGTCATCTCTACAAAACATTAGAAAATTAGCCCGGCACATGCCTGTGGTCTCCGCTGCTCGGGAGGCTGAGGCGGGAGGACGGCTTGAGCCCAGGAGTTGGAGGCTGCTGTGAGCCGAGATGGCACCACTGCACTCCAGCCTGGGTGACAGAGCGAGACCCTGTCTTAAAAATAAATAAATAGAAAAGAAGAGCCTGAGGCAGAGGAGAGAGGCAGCTTGCAGCCTGGGACCCGCGTCTACACCGCCAACAGCCTCTAAGGCTCTACGACCGGACAACAGCCTCGGGTCCCGGCCGCCACCATCCCAAGGGCCCCCCTCTCTGTCCTGGGCCGTTTTTGCAGGTTGACGAGTCAGGGTGACGCTCTTCCATGGATCTAAGTTCATGTGAGACAGCTGTAAACAAATGCTGGAGGGGTGACCTCGAGGGGTGCCTGTTGCCGTCCCTGCGTCACAGATGGGGAAGCTGAGGTGCAAAGATGGTGAGACACGCACCCCGCCCCCCTCAACGAGGCCGCAGAGCTGGCAGGAGGCTCAGCCAGGACACGGTGCAGATGCCAGGCTGTCCACAAAGAAAGGCAGGGAGGGAGAGAGGGAGGAAATTGGAAGGAAGGAGGGAACGAAAGGACGGAGGGAGGGAGGAAAGAAGGAAGGAAGGAGGGAGGCAGGAAGATTCCGTGTGAATTCACGCCATGAACAAACACTCCCTGAGCCCATCCTCCACGGCCCGTTCTGCTCCAACCCCGGGATGAACCATGACCTCAGCTGACCGGGCCTTTGGGGGGTCCTGGTGTCCCCTCCCCCAACCCCGGGATAAACCATGACCTCAGCCGACCAGGCCTTTGGGGGGTCCTGGTGTCCCCTCCCCCAACCCCGGGATGAACCATGACCTCAGCCGACCAGGCCTTTGGGGGGTCCTGGTGTCCCCTCCCCCAACCCCGGGATGAACCATGACCTCAGCCGACCAGGCCTTTGGGGGGTCCTGGTGTCCCCTCCCCCTAGAATGGCTCAGGTGGGTTTTCCTCTGAGGTCAAGCCTGCATCCCGGGGACCCCGCCTCCGTGGGCAGCTGGTGGGATGGGCCGTCGCCGCCTCCCTGGAGAGCCGAGAATCCAGGGAGACACCCAACGTGAGGACGATGGTGACATCACGATGACAGTGAAGACCAGCCCTGCGGCCACCGCTCCAGCGACGGAAGCCAGGGACCCCCCCACCTCCATCCAAACCTTTCAGACGAGATTGGGTTGACTTGAGGCTGTGGCAAGGGGGTGTTTTCCTGGCTGATATGACAACACTTTGCACAGAGCCACCTCCAGGAATCGCCCCACAACTCCCGAGACCCACCGGCTCGTGCCTTTGGGGGCTCAGGAGAAGAGGGGCCCCCGGCACTCCGTTCACACGTGTGCGATGAGACACACCTGCCCCCCCACCCCCCACGTGGCTTCTAAACACGATGCACCCCCTCTGTCCCCACTGGAGTTTTCTCTGCATGCAGATGTGGCTTTCCTCTGCCTGGAACCCTCAGTACCGTCCCCAGCGGTCACCTAAGGTTCATCGGATGCAGGCGGGAAAGACATAAGCCCCAGAGGTGTTTTCCCTGTTTATTTTAGACAGTTTCTTTCTCTCACCCAGGCTGGAGTGCAGTGGTGCCATCTCAGCTCACTGCAACCTCTGCCTCCCGGGTTCAAGCGATTCTCCTGCCTCAGCCTCTCGACTAGCTGGGATTACAGGCGCCCGCCACCACACCCAGCTAATTTTTTGTATTTTTAGCAGAGGCGGGGGGGTTGCACCATGTTGACCAGGCTGGTCTCGAACTCTTGACCTCAGGTGATCCGCCCGCCTTGTCCTCCCAAAGTGCTGGGATGACAGGCGTGAACCACCGCACCCGGCCCCTCCCAGGTATTTATGCACCCACCGTCGACAGCCCTTGGTTGGGAGAGACTCTGGAGGGTGCGGTTAATTCTGTGGTTCTCCCAACCTACCACTCGGGAGGGCTCCATCACCCAGAGAGGCCCCTACGCACGCAAAGGAAGCTGGACTCGAGGTCTCCATGCTCTGAGCAAGAAAGAGAGCGGAGACACAGCTGCATACAGACCCCTTCCCTTTGTCCTTGTCATGGAGTATCTGAGCTCCCAATCAGCCCTGCAGGCTGCTGGGAAACCCTTCAACCCTCCACCTTGCCATCCTCCTCTCCACCCTAAGCCTGCCTCCCTGTCTCGGTTCTCGGAATACACAGAGGTTTTTCCCAGCTCAGAGTCTTTGCACACGCTGATCCTTCTTCCTGCATTGCTTTTCCCTGCGCACAGCCAGCTCCTCCTTCTTGCTTCTTTTCAGCACTTTTTTTTTTTTTTGGAGACGGAGTCTCGCTCTGTTGCCCAGGCTGGAGGGCAGTGGCACGATCTTGGCTCACTGCAACCTCTGCCTCCCGGGTTCAAGTGATTCTCCTGCCTCAGCCTCCCGAGTAGCTGGGACTACAGGTGCCCGCCACCATGCCCGGCTAATTTTTTGTATTTTTAGTAGAGATGGGGTTTCACCGTGTTAGCCAGGCTGGTCTCGAACTCTTGACCTCAGATGATCCACCCGCCTTGTCCTCCCAAAGTGCTGGGATGACTGGTGTGAGCCACCGCACGTGGCCTGCTTGTGATGAGTTCTTTTGGAGAAATGAATTCACGGGGTGTTGAGATGGGGAATAACAAGGGTACCAACTTTGGCTGCTCCTGGAGGTGTCTTTGAAGGGGTAATGATATTTTAAAAATGCTGAAGGGGCCAGGTACGGTGGCTCACGCCTGGAATCCCAGCACTTCGGGAGGCTGAGGTGGGAGGATGACTTGAGGCCAGGAGTTTGAGACCAGCCTGGGAAACCTAGCAAGACTCTGTCTTTATGAAAAAAAAAAAAAAAAATTAGCCAAACATGGTGACATGCACCTGCCATTCCAGCTACTCAGGAGGCTGAGGCAGGAGGATCCCTTGAACCCGGGAGTGGAGGTTGCAGTGAGCCGAGTTCGCCCATTGCACTCTAGCCTGGGCAATGAGAGCAAGACTCCATCTCAAAAAAAAAAAAAAAAAGGCCACGCACGGTGGCTCACGCCTGTCATCGCAGCACTTTGGGAGGCCGAGGTGGGTGGATCACCTGAGGTCAGGAGTTCGAGACCAGCCTGACTAACATAGTGAAACCCAGTCTCTACTAACAATACAAAATTACCCAGGAGTGGTGGTGGGCGCCTGTAATCCCAGCTACTCGGGAGGCTGAGGCAGGAGGATGCCTTGAACCCCGGAGCAGAGGTTGCAGTGAGCCGAGTTCGCCCACTGTACTCCAGCCTACACAGTAAGAGCAAGACTCTGTCTCAAAAAAAAAAAAAAAAATAGGCCAGGTGCGGTGGCTCATGCCTGTCATCCCAGCACTTTGGGAGGCTGAGGCGGGCAGATCATGAGGTTGGGAGTTCGAGACCAGCCTAACTAAGATAGTGAAACCCAGTCTCTACTAAAAATACAAAATTAGCCGGGCATGGTGGTGCACACGTGTAATCCCAGCTACTCGGGAGGCTGAGGCAGGAGGATGCCTTGAACCCGGAAGCAGAAGTTGCAGTGAGCCAAGATTGCACCATTGCACTCCAGCCTGGGCAATGAGAGCAAGACCATCTCAAAAAAAAAAAAAAAAAAAAGAAAAAGGCCAGACATGGCGGCTCACGCCTGTAATCCCAGCACTTTAAGAGGCCGAGATGGATGGATCACCTGAGGTCAGGAGTTCCAGACCAGGCTGACCAACATGGTGAAACCCCGTCTCTACTAAAAATACAAAATTACCCAGGCGTGGTGGCAGGTGCCTGTACTCCCAGCTACTCGGGAGACTGAGGCAGGAGGATGCCTTGAACCCGGAAGCAGAGGTTGCCGTGAGCCAAGATCACGCCATTGCTCTCCAGCCTGGGTAACAAGAGCAAGACTCTGTCTCAAAAAAAAAAAAAAAAAAAACTCATCACAAGCAGCAGTTAGATGCTATTTTCTTTGTCTACTCACTCCTGATCTCTGCACTAGAGAGGAGGGAACCTCACACACCCCACCACGTACCCAGCACCCGGAACAGCACTCACAGCTCCGTGGACACTCAACAAGCGTTCACTGAAAGCCCCACTCAGCCAGGGCAGGGCCGGGAGGCTGTGACAGAAAGGAGAAAGAAGACGCGCATTTGGGGACAGCTCCCCAGGGGCCCGTCCATCAGCCAGGACCACTTCCAGGCTGTGTTTTTCTTCCCCGTCTCCGAGGCCGAGCAGGTGATAAATCTTTCACCGAAGCCGGGGCTTTGCAGGACGGAGCCGGCTGCCACCTACGTGGTGTGGCTCTGGGGACCCCAGGAACTCCCCACACGCCGTCCGCGTCCAGAAATCCCCCTGCCCCACCCCAACCCGGCCGCAGGTGCCTCAAAGTCCTTCCTTTCTTCCTCAGGGTAAGAAATTAACGGCAGCTGTGAAAACACTCATTTTATCTGGGTGGCGAAATACATTAGACAGGGGCCCTGCCGTTAACACCTTCGCCCCAAGGAGTTTATCCGGATTCCCGTCAGGACCTGGGAGGTCTGGACAGAGAAGGCTCCGGGGTCCCAAGAACCAGGACAGACGGGAGGCGGGAGCAGGTGGGGGCTCTGAGAGTTTGCAGAGCGAAAGTGTTCTCACAAGGAGGGCGCTGGCGCAGGACCTCCAGCCAGGAATGCAGGGACGTCCCTTAGACGTTCTCCGACGGCCCCTCACGAGACCCTGACGTCCTGGCCTGTGTGCTGTCTGCAGCATGAAAACAGTTGTTTTTATTATTATTATTATTATTATTATTATTATTATATTATTTTTGAGACAGAGTTTTTGCTCTGTTGCCCAGCCTGGAGTGCAGGGGTGCGATCTCGGCTCACTGCAACCTCCGCCTCCCGGGTTCAAGCGATTCTCCTGCCTCAGCCTCTCCTGAGTAACTGGGATTGCAGGCACCTGCCACCACCACGCCCGGCTAATTTTGTATTTTTAGTAGAGACAGGGTTTCTCCATGTTGGTCAGGCTGGTCTCGAGCTCCCTACCTCATGATCCGCCCGCCTCGGCCTCCCGAAGCGCTGGGATGACAGGCGTGCACCACCATGCCCGGCTAAGTTGGTATTTTTAGTAGAGACAGGCTTTCTCCATGTTGGTCAGGCTGCTTTTGAGCTCCTGACCTCGTGATCCGCCCGCCTCGGCCTCCCAAAGTGCTCGGATGACAGGCGTGAGCCACCACGCCCGGCTAAGTTTGTATTTTCAGTAGAGATGGGGTTTCTCCATGTTGGCCAGGATGTTCTCGAGCTCCTGACCTCATGATCCACCCGCCTCGGCCTCCCGAAGCGCTGGGATGACAGGCGTGAGCCACCGTGCCCGGCCTCTGGTTTGCAATTGTGACCGAGCTGGTAAGAGGTGGGGGCCAAGGGTTCTCAATCTGTTTTTTAAATTTTTGTGTTTTGTTTTGTTTTGTTTTCGAGACAAGATCTTGCTCTGTCGCCCAGGCTGGAGTGCGGTGGTGAGATCACAGCTCGCTACAGCCTCCAACTCCTGGGCTAAAGCGATCCTCCCACCTCAGCCTCTTCAGGAGCCGGGGCGACAGGCACCCGTGTCACTACGCCCAGCTGATCTGTCTTTTATGATTTTTAAAGACACGGTCTCGTTACGTTACCCAGGCTGGGGGACTCAAACTCGTGGCCTCCAGCGACCCTCGTGCCTCGGCCTCCCGTAGTGCTGGGACTGCAGGTGTGAGCCACCACGCCTGGCCCAAAACAAAATTTACAGAGCAGGACAAGCGCGGTGGCTCACGCCTGTCATCCCAGCACTTTGGGAGGCGGAGGCGGGCGGATCACTGGAGGTCAGGAGCTTGAGACCGGCCTGGCCGATGTGGTGAAACCTCATGTCTACCTAAAAAAACACAAAAATTAGCCGGGCATGGTGGCGGGCGTCTGTCGTCCCAGCTACTCAGGAGGCTGAGGCAGGAGAATCGCTTGAACCTGGGAGGCGGAGGTTGCAGTGAGCCGAGATCACACCACTGCACTCCAGCCTGGGCCACAGAGTGAGACTACATCTCAAAAAGAAAAGGAAAAAGAAAGAAGGAAGGAAGGAAAGGAAGGGAAGGAAAGGAAAGGAGGGAGGGAAGGGAGGTAAGGGAGGGAGGGAAGGGAGGGAAGGAAGGAAGGAAGGGAAGGAAGGAAGGGAAGGAAGGAAGGGAAGGAAGGAAGGGAAGGAAGGAAGGGAAGGAAGGAAGGGAAGGAAGGAAGAGGGGCCGGGCGCGGTGGCTCCCACCCATAATCCCAGCACTCTGGGAGGCCGAGGCGGGCGGATCACCTGGGGTCAGGAGCTTGAGACCAGCCTGGCCAACACGGTGAAACCCCGTCTCTAGTAAATATACAAAAATTAGCCGGGCGTGGTGGCAGGCGCCTGTCGTCTCAGCTATTGGGAGGCTGAGGCAGGAGGATCGCTTGAACCCGGGAGGCGGAGGTTGCAGTGAGCTGAGATCGCACCATTGCACTCCAGCCTCGGCGACACAGAGAGACTCATCTCAAAAAATAAAAATAAAAGTTCCATGGGGAAATGAGCCAGAATATGTGTATCCCCAGCTGTTCTCTAAAGACTGAGGGTATTTGTGCTGTTAGGCGTCTCAAAGTTTTCTCGAATTAATTTATTTTTTTCCTTTATCATCTTCCAGAACTTTCTGCCAGCAGCCTGCGTGCATTTCTTTTGCAAGCAGAAGGCAGCCCTTTTTTTTTTAATGTTAGAATCAAAGAGCCGGTTTCTTTCTGTCTTTGTCAGGAGGATGCGGTACGGTGACCGGGCCCCAGGGCTGCACCGACCGCGTTTTGTGGGGACAGACGTGGGCAGAGTGGCTGAGATAGGAGGGGAACAGGTGCCCTCGGGCTGGGGCAGGGAGAGGGCACTGCCACGCATCGCCCTGATCATTCTATTCTGTCGCAGAGCCGTGGGCAGGACCCCCTCGGGCAGGTGAGAGCCCCAGGTGAGCCCCCCCCGCCTCACCTGGCATGCAGGCCGGGGAGGTGACCCCACCCGCAGGTCACAGACACGGGTGTTCTTACGGGAAGCCCGGAGCGTCCTGCGTGGCGAGGTGCCCGGGGAGGCGGCGGTGGGGGGTGGATCGGCAGAAACAAGTTGTGTTCTGAGGCGCAGCGCCTGTGATGTGGGAGCCGGGCGCCCGGGGTTTGCAGACGTTTCTCGGTAATGTTTGTGCAGAAGCAAAGATCGAGCTCCTGGCTGGAGACCGTGAGGCCACTATAGAGAGACCACGGATGCTGGCTGCCGGGAAGGTGGCAATTAGCAGGATTTATGGTGTTTGCACGGCTCCCTGCGGTGGGGCATCCTCTTGGAGGCGGCCCTGGGGAGCAGCGTGGGGTCCAGACGGTGTCTCCGGCCCGGCTTCAGAACAAGCCACGCGGCGTCCGGGAGGACCCGTTGTCAGAGGCGAATGAACCGCAGTGACTCCCTCTTGACTGACGGCTGATTCCTCGCCTGCAGACGTTTACGGTCAAGGGAACGAATGCGGCTCACGCCTGGAATCCCAGCGCTCTGGGAGGCCGAGGCGGGCGGATCACGAGGTCAGGAGTTCGAGACCAGCCTGGCCAACACGGTGAAACCCCGTCTCTACTAAAAACACAAAAATTAGCCGGGCGTGGTGGCGGGTGCCTGTAATCGCAGCTGCTCAGGAGGCTGAGGCGGGAGAATCACTTGAACCCGGGAGGTGGAGGTTGCGGTGAGCAGAGATGGCACCACTGCACTCCAGCCTGGGGACAGAGTGAGACTCCATCTCAGAAAAAAAAAAAAAAAGGAAGAAATTGATAATGTTTACTGGCACGGTGGCTCACGCCTGTAATCCCAGCACGTTGGAAGGCTGAGGTGGGTGGATCACATGAGGTTGGCAGTTCGAGGCCAGCCTGACCAACATGGAGAAACCCCGTCTCTACTAAAAAAAATACAAAATTAGCCGGGCGTGGTGGCGGGCGCCTGTCATCCCAGCTACTCGGGAGGCTGAGGCAGGAGAATTCCTTGAACCCGGGAGGCGGAGGTTGAGGTGAGCTGAGATCGCACCACTGCACTCCAGCCTGGGCAACAAGAGCGAAACTCCATCTCAAAAAAAAAAAAAAAGTATTTACTAAACAGCCCCAGACTTGGGAGTGTCCAGGTATCTTAATATCTGGAGAACAAAGGCATTTTCCTAAGTTTGCTCTAAACATAATACCAATTCTCGGCCGGGCGCGGTGTTTCACGCCTGTCATCCCAGCACTTTGGGAGGCCGAGGCGGGCGGATCAGGTAGTCAGGGGTTCGAGACCAGCCTGGCCAATATGGTAAAACCCGTGTCTATTAAAAGTACAACGATTAGCCGGGTGTGGCGGGTGCCTGTAGTCCCAGCTACTCAGGAGGCTGAGGCAGGAGAATGGCTTGAACCCGGGAGGTGGAGGTTGCAGTGAGCCGAGATCGCGCCACCGCACTCCAGCCTGGGCGACAGAGCGAGACTCCATCTCAAAAAATAATAACTATAATACTGATTCTTGCAAAATATAGTAATTAAGAAAATTAATCCTTTATCACGAACCTTTGTAGCAGAGCACGTGTACCCGTATAGACAATTCTTTCTTTCTTTTTTTTTTTTTTTTGAGACAGAGTCTCGCTCTGTCGCCCAGGCTGGAGTGCAGTGGCGCGATCTCAGCTCACTGCAACCTCCGCCTCCCGGGTTCACGCCATCCTCCTGCCTCGGTCTCCCGAGTAGCTGGGACTACAGGTGCCCACCACCACGTCCGGCTAATTTTTTGTATTTTTAGTAGAGATGGAGTTTCATCGTGCTGGCCAGGCTGGTCTCGATCTCCTGACCTCGTGATCCACCCGCCCTGGCCTCCCAAACTGCTGGGATGACAGGCGTGAAACACCGCGCCCGGCCCCATTTTACTTTCTAAATAAACTTGCTTTTATTTTGCACTGCAAACTTGCCGTGAATTCTTTCTTGCACGAGATCCAGGTACCCTCTCTTGGGGTCTCAATCCGGAGACCCCAAGATGGCGTTGGCTGCCCGGTGGTCCGGGACTCAGGGGTCCACACGGGCTCTTCTGTGGCAAAAGGGGGATACCGAAGGGACGTCCTCCCTGTCAGCCTCCTGGACAGCTCAGCGTGGGCACCCGGGGAGCCCAGAGCCGCAGCCCCACACCCACCTCCCCGCCCACCAGCTCCCTACATGCTCAGAAGCAGGAGGACGTGAGTTTGAATTTGGCGACGTATCACCCTCTTGTTCTCCAAACCCAACATCAGGGCTGGGAGCCGTACTGCACACCTGTAATCCCAGCACTTTGGGAGGCCGAGATGGGAGGATCGCTGGAGCCCAGAGTTTCAGAGCAGCGTGGGCAACATAGGGAGGCCCTATCTCTACAGAAAATACAAAATGAGGCTGGCACGGTGGTGCATGCCTGTGGTCCCAGCTACTCGGGAGGCTGAGGCAGGAGGATCGCTTGAGCCCAAGGATTGGAGGCTGCAGTGAGCCAAGATCATGCCACTGCACCCCAGCCTGGGCTACATAGGGAGACCCTATCTCTACAGAAAATACGAAATGAGGCTGGCACAGTGGTGCATGCCTGTGGTCCCAGCTACTCGGGAGGCTGAGGCAGGAGGATCGCTTGAGCCCAAGGATTGGAGGCTGCAGTGAGCCAAGATCATGCCACTGCACCCCAGCCTGGGCTACATAGGGAGACCCTATCTCTACAGAAAATACAAAATGAGGCTGGCACAGTGGTGCATGCCTGTGGTCCCAGCTACTCGGGAGGCTGAGGCAGGAGGATCGCTTGAGCCCAAGGATTGGAGGCTGCAGTGAGCCAAGATCATGCCACTGCACCCCAGCCTGGGCAACAGACCAAGACCCTGCCTCGAAAAAAAAGAAAAGAAAAACCACATCCTTGAAGGTGCCAGGAGGGACGTTTATTTGGACCTCACGGAACGCTCTCTCGTCTTGGGGATCTGGGGGTGGGGGGATGGCTTCAGCGTTCACCTCCGTGCCAGACGCAGCCCCGGGCACACGGTGAACAGTTCCTAGTGGGCTGGTGATGAAGGCCTTTCGCCAGGTCCCGTTAGGTCCTCTGAGAAGTCTCCAGGGCCCCAGGGGCAGGAACAGGCTTGAAGTATTTGTGGGCTTATAAAGGTTTCCACCTGCCCGTAAAACGACGTTTACGAGAGCCCACCTCCACCTAGCAGTCACGGCCGCCTCCCCTCCTCACCCCTCCGGCGGCTCCAAATCCCTGGATTATGGAAAACGGTGTGCGTGATCTGGACTCGGAGATCTGTTAGAAATACACACATTTGGGAAGAGAGGTCAGAAAGGCAGATTTAAGAATAAAGACCTTCCCTGGGGTGGGCAGGGGTGGGGGCAGTGTAAATGAAAGGCGGGATTTGGGCGGGCAGATACATCAAGCCCAGGTGTTCAAGATCACCATGGGCAACAGAGCAAGAGTCTGTCCCTACAAAAAAATTTAAAAATTAGCTGGGAGTGGTGGCACCTGTCTGTAGTCCCAGCTCCTCAGGAAGCTGAGGCAGGAGGATCACCTGAGCCCAGGAGGTGGACGCTGCAGTGAGCTGAGATTGCACCACTGCACTCCAGCCTGGGCCACAGAGCAAGAGCCTGTCCCTACAACAAAATTAAATATTGGCCAGGTGTGATGGTGTATGTCTGTAGTCCCAGCTCCTCAGGAGGCTGAGGTGGGAGGATCACCTGAGCCCAGGAGGTGGAGGCTGCAGTGAGCGGAGATTGCACCAGTGCACTCCAGCCTGGGCCACAGAGCAAGACCCTGTCTCTACAAAAAAAATTAAATATTGGCCAGGTGTGATGGTGTATGTCTGCAGTCCCAGCTCCTCAAGAGGCTGAGGCAGGAGAATCGCTTGAACCAGGAGGCGGAGGTTGCAGTGATCCGAGATCACACCACTGCACTCCAGCCTGGGTGACAGAGCGAGACTCCGTCTCAAAAACAAACAAACGAAAAATGGCTCACACGGTGAATTTTATGTTCTGTACGTCTTACGTGCCACGGTAAACAAACAGGAAAACAAGACTCAGAAAGCATTCATCAGCCACCACGTGAAAACCACCCCTTGATCCATTTTTATAATTAATTTCAGACAGTCAGGTATTTGGTTTAAGAGCTGTGGGAGTCCACGCTACCTGGGGTGCTCGGACGCTTAATTGCAAAATAATTAGAGAAAATTGGTGACTGCTTTCATCTCTGTTTCATCTTTCAGGGTGAAAAGTGAAAATCTAGACGCTTCCGGTTCTATTCTAATGATGTTTCATACGCGGCCGCCAAGGCACAAAGCAAGCTGACCGTTTTGTACCATTTGGACTTGACTTTTTTCTAAATGTCATAAGGGAAACTTAATTCCTTTTAATTAAATGTCTTTAAAAGCCCGTCCCTTTAGTCTTTGAGCTCCTCTTCTCGGTCTCCTCCCGCGCTGTGGAGGGTACTTCCATTTTCAATAAATCCCTTCATTCCTTCCTTGCAAAAAATAAAAATAAAATAGGGCCAGGTGAGGTGGCTCACACCTGTCATCCCAGCACTCTGGGAGGCAGAGGAGGGTGGATCACCTGAGGTCAGGAGTTCGAGACCAGCCTGACCAACATGGTGAAACCCCGTCTCTACTAAAAACACAAAATTAGCCGAGCGTGGTGGTGCACGCCTGTAATCTCAGCACTTTGGGAGACTGAGGCAGGAGAATCACTTGAACCCGGGAGGCGGAGGTTGCAGTGAGCCGAGATCCCGCCACCGCACTCCAGCCTGGGCAACAAGAGTGAAACTCCGCCTCAAAAATATTAATAATAAAATAAATAAAAAATAGGCCGGGCGCGGTGGCTCACGCCTGTAGTCCCAGCACTTTGGGAGGCCGAGGCTGGCGGATCACCTGAGGTCAGGAGTTCAAGAACAGCCTGGCCGACACGGCGAGACCCCATCTCCACTAAAAATACAAAAATTAGCTGGGCGTGGTGTGGGCACCTGTCATCCCAGCTACTCGGGAGGCTGAGGCAGGAGAATCCGTTGAACCCGGGAGGCGGAGGTTGCAGTGAGCCGAGATCACACCATTGCACTCCAGCCTGGGTAACAAGAGCAAAACTCCATCTCAAAAATGATAATAATAATAATAAAATAAAAAATAAAAGGTGCCATTTCCCCTGCTCCTTTTATTTTTGACATGCTTTTCAGCATGACTGTGTACAGCAGTCGGCCCCTGCCCTGGAGTCCAGCTGCACCTGCTCCTGCCCCAGCCCCGGCTGACCGAGGTCTGTTTACGTCTCCCCAGTATCACCCAGCAACGGGGACCTAAACACAGCTGAGCAGCAAAGACAAGGGCCCCCGGGTGGTAAAGACGCAGGTCCTCTTTCCGCAGATGGCCCTGAAAAAGACCCTATGCCCCAAGGACCCGGGGTCGGGGGAGGTTTCTCCTCTGCTCTGCACCCCACATCCCGAGCTCTCGGGCAGCTCCGAGCTCAGCCGTGGGTCCTGGAGGAAGGAGGGAGACGCTGTGTTACGGTTCCCCGCGGGTGGGAACCAGTGCCCTTCTAATTCGGAAGGTGGCACATTCCCCAGGCCTGAAGTCATGCTGGCCTGGAGGGGGGCTGCCATCCTGTCCGGGGGGCCTGGCTCGTCTTGGAAGGGCAGGCATTGTGGAGGCTGGGACTCCCGGCTTCTCCCCAGCTTCCTTCCTCCCTGACCAGCCCATCGGAAAAGCAATTCCTCCTGTAGACCTCAGAGCTCCAGCGTCTCCGGCATCCACCCACCCCGGGCCTTTGCAAGCCACCCTGACCGCCGATGCCAAGCGGGATGTCTAAATCGGGCGCGTGCATTCCTGCCACTAAGCGTGGCCCTCGGTTAATCCCTGGCAGGGGGTGACTGTCTTGGCCGTGGAATGTGTGGACGGAATGTTGGGGCCGGGTGAGCTGTTGAAAGCTCGTCCCCGGCGCCCACCCGGACTCCGCAGCTCCATGGACACTATTTCCAGGATGGGGGAGCGGACAGGGCCCCTTTCAACCTTCGGAATTCCTGGCGGGGCCTCCCAGCTGTGCTCGCCATGCTTATTTAAATCTCGCTGATTTAAAAGAAAATCCTTTTCCATCTTCTTCTGGGTGGCTTGAGGCTGTGCCTAGGGGGGTCCATGGTCACCGGCTGTATTTTCACAAACCATTGATTTTTTTTTTTCTTTTTGAGACAGACTTTCGCTGTCACCCACGATCTCAGCTCACTGCAACGTCCGCCTCCCAGGTTCAAGCAATTCTCCTGCCTTACTCTCCCGAGTAGCTGGGATAACAGGCACACACCATCACACCTGGCTAATTTTTTTTTTTGTATTTTTTTTTTTAGTAGAGATGAGGTTTTGCCATACTGGCAAGGCTGGTCTTGAACTCCTGGGCTCAAGCAATCCACCGGCCTCGGCCTCCCAAAGTGCTGGGATTACAGGCAAGACCCACTGCACCTGGCCTCTACAAACAATTTAAAAATAAAATCAGCCGAGCATGGTGGCTCACGCTCGTAGTCCCAACCACTCAGGAGGCCGATATGAGAGCATCGCTTGAGGCCAGGAGTTTGAAACCAGCCTGGACAATATTGCAAGACCCCCATCTCTCAAAAAACAAATTTAAAATTGGCCAGGCATGGTGGCGCACACCTGTAGTCCCAGCTACTCGGGAGGCTGATGCAGGAGGATTGGTGGAGCCCAGAGGGTTGAGGCTGCAAGGAGCTGAGATCCCAACACTGCACTCCAGCCTGGGCAACAGAGCAAGACCTCAGCTGAAAAAATAAAGACAAGTTTGATACCGACAGTGACAGCTGTGCTCAAATTTGTGGGTTCCTAGCCCTGGAGCAGGGTTTCAATTTTTTTCTTTGAGACAGTCTCAAAAAACCAAAGAAACAAAAAACCTCTGAGATGGTTATATTTCAATTTCTCTGAGATACAGGGTGTATTACCTTGGAACACTATTGTTGCCAACTTGATCTCCCACCTACGGTGAACAAAACTTTGCGTTTGAATCCAAAAACAGGCTAGGCAAGTATATTGAGACATTCATAAAAGCTCTTTGAATCGGCAATGGGAGTCATTGCAACTTTATTTATTTACTTTTTTTTTGGAGACGAGGTTTTGGTCTGTTGCCCAGGCTGGAGTGCAGTGGTGCGATCACAGCTAACTGCAGCCTCGACCTCCTAGGCTCAGGCAATCCTCCTGCCTCAGCCTCCTGAGTAGCTGGGACTATAGGTGTGCACCGCCACAGCTGGCTAATTTTTAAGTTTGTTTTTTTTTTTTGAGACGGAGTCTCGCTCTGTCGCCCAGCCTGGAGTGCAGTGGTGCCATCTCAGCTCACTGCAAGCTCGGCCTCCCGGGTTCACCCCATTCTCCTGCCTCAGCCTCCTGAGTAGCTGGGACTATAGGTGTGCACCACCACAGCTGGCTAATTTTTAAGTTTTTTTTTGTTTGTTTGCTTGTTTCTTTGTTTTGAGATGGAGTCTCGCTCTGTCGCCCAGGCTGGAGTGCAGTGGCGCGATCTCGGTTCACTGCAAGCTCCGCTTCCCGGGTTCACGCCATTCTCCTGCCTCAGCCTCCCGAGTAGCTGGGACTACAGGCGCCGCCACCACGCCCGGCTAATTTTTTTTGTATTTTTAGTAGAGACGGGGTTTCACCGTGTTAGCCAGGATGGTCTTGATCTCCTGACCTCGTGATCCACCCGCCTCGGCCTCCCAAAGTGCTGGGATTACAGGTGTGAGCCACCGCGCCCGGCCCCAAATTATTTATTTATTTATTTATTTATTTATTTATTTATTTATTTAGACACAGTCTCACTCTGCCACCGAGGCTGGAGTGCAATGGTGTGATCTCGGCTCACTGCAACCTCCGCCTCCCGGGTTCAAGCAATTCTCCTGCCTCAGCCTTCCGAGTAGCTGCAATTACAGGTGCCCACCACCGTGACCAGGTGATTTTTGTATTTTTAGTAGAGATGGGGTTTCACCATGTTGGCCAGGCTGGTCTCAAACTCCTGACCTCAGGTGATCCGCCCACCTCGGCCTCTCAAAGCGCTGGGATGACAGGTGTGAGCCAACATGCCCGGCCTAAAAGTAGCCACTTTTAACACTATAACTAAAGCAAGCTGCTTTGGGGCAGACATCAACAACATTCTTTTTTTTTTTTTTTGAGTCGGAGTTTCAGTCTTTGTCACCCAGGCTGGAGTGAAATGTCGCGATCTCAGCTCATTGCCACCTCGGCCTCTTGGGTTCAAGCAATTCTCCTGCCTCAGACTCCTGAGTAGCTGGGATTACAGGCACATGCCACCATGCCCAGGTGATTTTTGTATTTTTAGTAGAGACAGGGTTTCGACACGTTAGCCAGGCTGGTCTCGAACTCCTGACCTCGGGTGATCCGCCCGCCTCAGCCTCCCAAAGTGCTGGGATTACAGGCGCATGCCACCATGCCTAGGTGATTTTTGTATTTTTAGTAGAGACAGGGTTTCGCCATGTTGGCCAGGCTGGTCTCGAACTCCTGACCTCAGGGGATGCACCCGCCTCAGCCTCCCAAAGTGCTGGGATTACAGGCGTGAGCCACCGTGCCCAGCCTAAAAGTAGCTGCTTTTACCACTATGAGTAAAGCAGTTGGGCAAGTGTGGTCAGCAGATTCCCAGACATAAAATCCAGGACCCAGGCTCTTTTCCACAGCTCACCGTGGAGCCCATCGCAATGCCTGGGATCCACCTGGCCACCAGGTCCTTGCACCCCACAGTCACGACAGCTGCCCTGGGTCCCCGGGGTCATGGAATTCTCCAGATCTGCCAGTCCGCCTGAATTGGAGTAGCTCTTCCCAGAAAACCTCTGCAAACCCCAGCCGAGGCTCAACAGCCCGGCTGCCACGGGTGCCGAGAACCAGGCGTGCCCACGGAGGTGAGAGCAGGTAGGAGACAGAGCTGATGCTTGGATAGGACCCACACGTTCCTCCCACCGAGAGGTCCGAAGGCAGCCAGGCGCGGTGGCTCCCGCCTGTCATCCCAGCACTTTGGGAGGCCGAGGCGTGTGGATCACCTGAGGTCAAGAGTTCAAGACCAGCCTGGCCAACATGGAGAAACCCCATTTCTACTAAAAATACAAAATTACCCAGGTGTGGTGGCGGGCACCTGTAATCCCGGCTACTCAGGAGGCTGAGGCAGGAGAATCGTTTGAACCCGGGAGGCGGAGGTTTCAGTGAGCCGAGATCACACCACTGCACTCCAGCCTGGGTGACAGAGCAAGACTCCATCTCAAAAAAAAAAAAAAGCCTGAAGGCTCCCACTGAGTGTCCTGCTTTCAAGTTAGCTGCACCCCAGCCTGCTGCGGTGGCTCACGCCTGTCATCCCAGCACTATGGGAGGCGAAGGCGGGTGGATCACTTGAGGTCAGGAGTTTGAGACCAGACTGGCCAACATGGTGAAACCCCATCTCTACTAAAAATACAAAAATTAGCCCGGGCATGGTGGCAGGTGACTGTCATCCCAGCTACTCAGGAGGCTGAGGCAGGAGAATCGCTTGAACCTGGAAGCCGGAGGTTGCAGTGAGCCGAGATCGTGCCACTGCACTCCAGCCTGGGCGACAGAGCGAGACTCTGCCTCAAAAAAAAATAAAATAAAGTAAAACAAAAATAAAATAAAATGTATTCTGATGTCTGGACACCATGGTTCATACCCATAATCCCAGCAGTTTTGGAGGCTGGGACAGGAGGATCACTTGAGGCCAGGAGTTCAAAACCAGCCTGGGCATATAGGGAGAACCTCTCTCTACAAAAAAACAAACCAAAAAAACTTAACTGGGGATGGTGTTGTGCACCTACAGTCCAAGTGTACTAGTCTGTTCTCAGGCTGCTAATAAAGGCATAACGAAGATGGGGTAATTTATAAAGGAAAGAGGTTTAATGGACTCACATTTCCGCATGGCTGGGGAGGCCTCACAATCATGGCGGAAGACGAAGAAGGAGCAAAGTCACATCTTACATGGCGGCAGGCAAAAAAAGGGCGTATAGAGGGGTGCTCCCATTTATAAAACCATCAGATCTTGGCCGGGCACGGTGGCTCACGCCTGTCATCCCAGCACTTTGGGAGGCTGAGGAGGGTAGATCACCTGAGGTGAGGAGTTTGAGATCAACGTGGCCAACATGGTGAAACCTCGTTTCTATTAAAAATACAAAAAATTAGCCAGGTGTGGTGGCGGGTGCTTGTAATCCCAGCTACTTGGGAGGCAGAGGTTGCAGTGAGCCGAGATCATGATATTGCACTCCAGCCTGGGTGACAAGAGCGAGACTCTGTCTCAAAAAAAAAAAAAAAAAAAAAAATCAGATCTCATGAGACCTATTCACTACCACGAGAACAGTCTGGGGGAAACTGACCCTATGATTCAATTCTCTCCACCTGGCCCTGCCCTTGACACGTGGGGATGATAACCGTTCAAGGTAAACCTTGGGAGGGGACATAGCCAAACCATGTCACCCAGCTACTCAGGAAAAACCGCGTCACCCAGCTACTCGGGAGAAACCGCATCACCCAGCTACTCTGGAGAAACCGCGTCACCCAGCTACTCGGGAGAAGCCGCGTCACCCAGCTACTCGGGAGAAGCCGCGTCACCCAGCTACTCGGGAGAAACGGCGTCACCAGCTACTCCGGAGAAACGGCGTCACCAGCTACTCGGGAGAAACGGCGTCACCCAGCTACTCGGGAGAAACGGCGTCACCAGCTACTCTGGAGAAACGGCGTCACCAGCTACTCGGGAGAAACGGCGTCACCAGCTACTCGGGAGAAACGGCGTCACCAGCTACTCGGGAGAAACGGCGTCACCAGCTACTCGGGAGAAACGGCGTCATTCAGCTACTCGGGAGAAACGGCGTCACTCAGCTACTCTGGAGAAACGGCGTCACTCAGCTACTCGGGAGAAACGGCGTCACCAGCTACTCGGGAGAAACGGCGTCACCAGCTACTCCGGAGAAACAACATCACCCAGCTACTCGGGAGAAACGGCGTCACCAGCTACTCTGGAGAAACAGCGTCACCAGCTACTCTGGAGAAACGGCGTCACCAGCTACTCGGGAGAAACGGCGTCACCAGCTACTCGGGAGAAACGGCGTCACCAGCTACTCGGGAGAAACGGCGTCACCAGCTACTCGGGAGAAACGGCGTCACCAGCTACTCTGGAGAAACGGCGTCACTCAGCTACTCTGGAGAAACGGCGTCACCAGCTACTCGGGAGAAACGGCGTCACCAGCTACTCGGGAGAAACGGCGTCACCAGCTACTCGGGAGAAACGGCGTCACCAGCTACTCGGGAGAAACGGCGTCACCAGCTACTCGGGAGAAACGGCGTCACCAGCTACTCGGGAGAAACGGCGTCACCAGCTACTCTGGAGAAACGGCTTCACCCAGCTACTCGGGAGAAACGGCGTCACCAGCTACTCTGGAGAAACAGCGTCACCAGCTACTCGGGAGAAACGGCGTCACCAGCTACTCGGGAGAAACGGCGTCACCAGCTACTCGGGAGAAACGGCGTCACTCAGCTACTCGGGAGAAACAGCGTCACCAGCTACTCTGGAGAAACAGCGTCACCAGCTACTCGGGAGAAACGGCGTCACCAGCTACTCGGGAGAAACGGCGTCACCCAGCTACTCGGGAGAAACGGCGTCACCAGCTACTCGGGAGAAACGGCGTCACCAGCTACTCGGGAGAAACGGCGTCACTCAGCTACTCAGGAGAAATGGCGTCACCAGCTACTCGGGAGAAACGGCGTCACTCAGCTACTCGGGAGAAACGGCGTCACTCAGCTACTCGGGAGAAACGGCGTCACCCAGCTACTCGGGAGAAACAGCATCACCAGCTACTCGGGAGAAACAGCATCACCAGCTACTCGGGAGAAACGGCGTCACCAGCTACTCGGGAGAAACGGCGTCACTCAGCTACTCGGGAGAAACAGCGTCACCAGCTACTCGGGAGAAACGGCGTCACCAGCTACTCGGGAGAAACGGCGTCACTCAGCTACTCTGGAGAAACGGCGTCACCAGCTACTCGGGAGAAACGGCGTCACCAGCTACTCGGGAGAAACGGCGTCACCAGCTACTCGGGAGAAACGGCGTCACCAGCTACTCGGGAGAAACGGCGTCACCAGCTACTCTGGAGAAACGGCTTCACCCAGCTACTCGGGAGAAACAGCGTCACCAGCTACTCTGGAGAAACAGCGTCACCAGCTACTCTGGAGAAACAGCATCACCCAGCTACTCGGGAGAAACGGCATCACCAGCTACTCTGGAGAAACGGCATCACCAGCTACTCCGGAGAAACAGCGTCACCAGCTACTCCGGAGAAACAACATCACCCAGCTACTCGGGAGAAACAGCGTCACCCAGCTACTCGGGAGAAACGGCGTCACCCAGCTACTCGGGAGAAACGGCGTCACCAGCTACTCCGGAGAAACAACATCACCCAGCTACTCGGGAGAAACAGCGTCACCCAGCTACTCGGGAGAAACAGCGTCACCCAGCTACTCGGGAGAAACGGCGTCACCCAGCTACTCGGGAGAAACAGCATCCTCCAGCTACTCTGGAGAAGCCACGTCACCCAGAAACTCTGGAGAAGCCGCCTCACCCAGATACTCGGGAGAAACCGCGTCACCCAGCTACTCTGGAGAAACAGCGTCACCCAGCTACTCGGGAGAAACAGCATCCTCCAGCTACTCTGGAGAAGCCGCGTCACCCAGAAACTCTGGAGAAGCCGCGTCACCCAGATACTCGGGAGGAACCGCGTCACCCAGCTACTCTGGAGAAACAGCGTCACCCAGCTACTCGGGAGAAGCCACGTTGCCCGGCTACTTGGGGAGCTGAGGAGGGAGGATCCCTTGAGCCTGAGAGTCCAAGGCTACAGGAGCGAGACCCTGTCTCAAAAAAAAAAAAAAAAACAAATATAAGTAAAGCAATAAAATAGACTGTGGTGATGGTGGCACAAGTCTCTGCATACAGAAAGCCACGGGTTGGAAGAGTTTAAACGGACACATTGTCAGCTGTGTAAATTCTCTCTCTATACAGCTCTTTTCTGGAAAACCAGTGAATGTGACGCACCGTATTCATGGCTAAGGGGCCAAACTCACATGACCATTTGCAGAAATGCAGGAAAAGCATTTGAGCAAAGGCAGTGCCTTTTCGCGATAAAAATTCAGTCAACCCAGAAGGGGACAGAAAGTTCCTCAAGCCGCTGAAGATCCAGAAGACGGCCCTGGCCGGTGGGCCGCGATGAAGGTCGCTCTGGGCGCCGTCGGGTAAAGCGTGAGACGCACTCCCTGTCAGAATACAGTCCAGGAAGGAAGGGCTTCTCCGAGGCGTCAAAAGTCATGCGTTGCCCCGGCCTGGGTTAGGAACCATCAGTCTTGTCATCCCAGAGACTCTCCCAGCACCCGGGGAATAAATGAGACATTGGAACGGGCTGCAATCCCGCCCCGGCAGACGGTGCCGTTTGATTTCTCTTCCATCTACACGATGCGCGTCACATAAAAAGGTGACTGTGTGGCCGGGCGAGGTGGCTCATGCCTGTCATCCCAGCACTTTGGGAGGCCGAGGCGGGAGGATCACTCGAGGTCGGGAGTTCGAGACCAGCCTGGCCAACATGGTGAAACCGCGTCTCCACTAAAAATACAAAAAGTAGCCGGGCGTGGTGGCGGGTGCCTGTCATCCCAGCTACTCGGGAGGCTGAGGCAGGAGAATCGCTTGAACCCGGGAGGCGGAGGTTGCGGCGAGCCGAGATTGCACCTCTGCACTCCAGCCTGGGCGACAGAGCAAGACTCTGTCTCAAAAAAAAAAAAAAAAAAAAAAGGTAACTTTGTGACCCTGAATAAAATTAAAATGTCTAAAAAATATGAGCCAGGCTTGGTGGTGCATGCACGCTGAGGCAGGAGGATCTCTTGAACCCAGGAGGCGGAGTCTGCAGTGAGCCGAGATCACACAGGTGCGCTCCAAGCTGGGCAACAGAAGGAGACCCTGTCTCTAAAATAAAATAAAATAAAATAAATAAAATGAAATAAAATAAAAATAAATAATAATAAATTTAAATAAATTTAAATAACTATCTAAATGAATACATAAATAAATAAATGAATAAATTTAAATAAATTTAAATTTAAACAAATTTGATTATTTATTTATTATTATATATTTATTATATATTATTATTTATTAATTAAATTTATTAAATAAATTTAAATCGTTTTTTAAATTAAATTATAATTTCCCTCATGACATTTAAATTTAAATGAAAATGTCATGAGGGAAATTATAACTATATTTCATTTAAAATACGTTAACAAAGCAAATGTTATCACAGAGTATTTACAACAAAGCACTTTTGGTGACTTTAAAAGCAGATTACACAAACAATATCACAGTGTTTTAGATCCAATGGGGACTACAAATGTCCGTTAAGGGTTTTGTGGGGTTTGTTTTTTTTTTCGGTACGACATTAAAACAGATTTTGTCAAGAATTATTACCTCCTCGAACAAAAAGCACATTGTTGTCTCAGGGAAAAAAAAACACACAATTATGCTATTGAGTTTGTGGCTACAAAGATGTACTGTCATATAAAGTAATAAAAACGGGGAAAACAACATAAAATAAGAGTTAGACGGATTAAACGACTTCATAGGAACCTGAGGAAAAGGAAGCAAAGTCCCTTTACTGAGAGCGCTTTTAGGGACGCATAATCAATACTAAAGTTTATACATCCTGCCTCGGGACTTGATTTAAAAATTCTCCTATTTATTAAATAAGTTGACGTTGTTTTGAGATGTAATGAAATGGCCGCAGCAGGTGCGGAGGCCGATTTTTGAGGGGGGCAGGTGGAGCACGGCTGGCCTTGTGCAGCCCTCTGCTGAGTGTGCGTGATTTCTACTGCAAATGCTCACTGTCAAGACACGAACCATTCCCGTTTATCTCAAAGAGGACTTATTTAATAATTCCAGCATTGTGTCCTTTCCTTGAAAGAAAGGACACAAAGAAGTGCAGGGGTGGCCGGGTGCGGTGGCTTATGCCTATAATCCCAGCACTTTGGGAGGCTGAGGTGGGTGCATCCCCTGAGGTCAGGAGTTCGAGACCAGCCTGGCCAACAAGGTGAAACCCCCGTCTCTACTAAAAATACAAAAATTAGCCAGGCATGATGGTGCACACCTGTAATCCCAGCTACTCGGGAGGCTGAGGCAGGAGAATCGCTTGAACTGGGAGGTGGAGGTTGCGGTGAGCCGAGATCGTGCCACTGCATTCCAGCCTGGGAGACGGAGAGAGACGCCGTCTCAAAAAATAATAATAATAATAATTAGCTGGGCATGATGGCAGGTGCCTGTAATCCCAGCTACTCGGGAGGCTGAGGCAGGAGAATCGCTTGAACCAGAGAGGCGGAGGTTGTGGTGACCTGAGATCGTACCACTGCACTCCAGCCTGGGCAACAGCGCAAGACTCCATCTCAAAAAAAAAAAAAAAAAAAAAAAAAAGAAAAAGAAAAGAAAAGAAAAAAAAAGAAGTTCAGAGTTTGCAGACGTGAACCCTACATGACCCAAATGTCGTCCTTTCCGGAGAGAAATCGCGTGGCTATGATTTAGGACGATTTCTACTTCCAACCTTTAGGAAAATGACAAAGAGGAGGTTCAATGTCTGCGCTGGGGACCCCCCGAGCCTGTCCAGGTTGCACCGTCATTGCCCAGAGAATGCTCAGATTGCATTTCACAATGTGGTCCCAGGGGCCGACCTATTCCGTTGCAGGTGAGCGTAGAAGCATGAAGCTGTTCAATCTGCACACAGCACCTGACGGCCCTGGGGTTTTACGCCGGCAATGACCGTGCTGTGGTTCCCACCTTCCGGGGTTGAGGAAGGACCTGCCAGCCTTTACGCTTTGCCGCCCCAGCACGCAGGTGGCAACTGTGGCAGAGAAGGGAAAATGGGAGCCCAGGAGGTCTCCTAGGGAGAGCAGCGATCCGACTGTGGGTCCCAGGGCGGGCTCTGAATCTCAGCCCCACTGTCTCCAAGGGGCTTCCTCAGCTGGGAAGTGGGAACCACGGTGCCCCCTAAACGAGGCATATTCTTCACTCCAGCATCAGGTTCCTGCCAGGGACTCCAAGTCAGGAGGACAAGCTCCTGCGCGGCCTGCGTGGCCGCTCCCCTGTGCGGGCCCTCTCCTGAGTGGGGAGAAAGCTGCTTCCCCCAGTTCTTCCCTGGGCAACACCCCCTGCCAGCTGCAAGGACACACACGCACACACAGAACCACGTGCTCAGTCACAGGCTCACGCACTCACACGTACCCTCACACACATGCACACACATACAGTCACGTGCTCAATCACACACGCACTCACACATACCCTCACACACACACAAATAGCCACGTGCTCACACTCACACGTACCCTCACAGAGCCAAATGCTGAATCACACACACATACCCTCACACACACACCCTCACACACACACACATACTCATACGTTCACACTCACGCACTCACACATACCCTCACACACACATACTCAGTCACACATCAAAGCATTTTCATAGATAGCTTGTTTCTAGCTTTTATCATTGGATATTCTATGTTTCCTTACAAGCCTCGATGGACTCAGAAACGTCACTTTGGAGATTCTACAAAAAGAATGTTTCCAAGTTGGTGACTCAAAACATTTAAAGTGATCCTCCTATCTCCTTGTAGCTGGGCCTACAGGCAGGTGCCACCATGCCCGGCTAATTTAGTGTATTTTTTTTTTTTTTGCAGAGACTGGATCTTGCTGTGTTGTCCAGGCTGGTCTCAGACTCCTGAACTCAAGGAACCTACCCACCTCTACTTCCCAAAGTGCTGGGATGACAGGCTGGAGCCCCGACGCCCTTGTTTCATTTATCGAGGGAACAAACATGTATTAGGAAGCTACCGTGAAGACAGTTCCATGGTGTAATGGTGAACATTCTGGACTCTGAATGTGTCTGTCTGAAAGCTACCGTGTGACAGGTGCCATTCTATTTCCCGGGGTCCCTGTAGTGAGAGAAACAGACCAAGGAGAAACCTTCCTGTCCTCGGCGGCTCACGTTCTGATTGGTGGGGGCTGGGTGGGGCTGTGAGGGGTGGGTTAAACCCAGACAGCCAGCAGGCACACAATTCGCTGTCATAGTGTCAACATTCTTCTCCATAAAGGCTTTCTTCTGGCCGGGCACGGTGGCTCACGCCTGTCATCCCAGCACTATGGGAGGCCGAGGCGGGTGGATCACGAGTTCAGGAGATCGAGACCATCCTGGGTAACACAGTGAAACCCCGTCTCTACCAAAACTACAAAAAATGAGCCGGGCGTGGTGGCGGGCACCTGTCATCCCAGCTACTCGGGAGGCTGAGGCAGGAGGATGGCGTGAACCCGGGAGGCGGAGCTTGCAGTGAGCCCAGATTGCACCACTGCACTCCAGCCCAGGCGACAGAGCGGGACTCCGCCTCAAAAAACAAACAAACAAAAAAGAATACACGGTTCCATTAAACAAGCCAGCCTCTCTGAGACTCCCGGAGGTCAGCTTTGCAGGTTGCTAATTTAATACAGAAGAAGGGTGAAGGGCTTATGTTTTTATAAAATGTAATTTTATATATTTTCATATTTTAAAACTTTTTATAAAATACAATTTTACATATTGTCATATGTGTAAAAATGTTTTTACAAACTATAATTTTGTTTCTATATTTTAAAATTTTTTATAAAACATAATTTTATAAACTATATTTTTTAAAAAATTTATATTGTATTTTATATATATACACACATACACACATATATATACAGACACACACATATATACACACACACAGATATATACACACACACACATACACACACACACACACACACACACACATCTGCACCCAAATTTCCCCGTTCTTTAAGGATAGAAGACATGGTGGTGAGCACCTGTAATCCCAGCTACTTGGGAGACTGAGGCAGGAGAATGGCTTGAACCTGGGAGGCGGAGGTTGCAGTGAGCCAAGATCGCACCACTGCCCTCCAGCCTGGGTGACAAGAGCGAAACTCCGTCTCTTTAATATATATTAAAATGCATACATGGGCCAGGTGCAGTGGCTCACGCCTGTAATCCCAGCACTTTGGGAGGCTGAAGCAGGAGGATGGCTTAAGCCCAGGAGTTTGAGACCAGCCTGGGCAACATAGCGAGATCTCATTTCTAAAGAAATTTAAAAATTAGCTGGGTATGGTGGTGCACGCCTGTGGTCCCTGGTGCTCAGGAGGCTGAGGTGGGAGGATTGCTGGAGCCCAGGAGTTTGAGGCTGCAGTGAGCTGTGATCGTGCCATTGCACTCCAGTCTGAGTGACAGAGAAAGAGTCTGTCTCAAAAAGAAAAAAAAAAAATCTAATTTTCTGCCATGAGAAAGCAAGTTGCTATTGCAGACAGCCACCTCAATCATGCATCCTGGGCTTCTAACCCTGAACTGACAGGATTCACACACTCTCTCATATGCCGAAAGGGTCATGGCTTATAACAATCATGTAGGCGGCCGGGCGCGGTGGCTCACGCCTCTAATCCCAGCACTTTGGGAGGCCGAGGCGGGCGGATCACAAGTTCAGGAGATCTTGAGACCATCCGGGCTAACACGGTGAGACCCCCTGTCTCTACTAAACATACAAAAAATTAGCCGGGTGTTGGTGGCGGGCGCCTGTAGCCCCAGCTACTCTCTAGGAGGCTGAGGCTGGAGAATGGCGTGAACCCGGGAGGCAGAGCTTGCAGTCAGATGAGATGGGGCCACTGCTCTCCAGCCTGGGCGACACAGCGAGACTCCGTCTCAAAAAAAAAAAAAGCATGTAAGCAAGCCTAGGAATCCCTTAGTCTTCCTTCCTATAATAGCAAAATCGTACCAATTCCTCCCTCCCCCAGCTGCCCTCCAAAAATAGCGCCACTCAGCAGGCCCACGATCGAGTGACGGGCACAGAGGTGAGCCCCACAGATGCCGTCTGTACACTTTCCACGGGATGTTTTTAGAACGTGAAAGGCCGGGAATAGCCTCCCCTGCCCACACCCACAAGGCGCCCCAGGAGAGGAAGGTCCCGCAACACGTGGTCTACCTTCTTTTATTGTTGCTTTTCATTTATTTTTATTGTTTACATTTTTTGGTAGGGGCAGGGTCTTGCTAGGTGGCCCAGGTTGGTCTCGAACTCCAGGCCTCAAGCGATCCTCCTGCCTCGGCCTCCCACTGTGCTGGGATTGTGGGCATGAGCCGCCGCGCCTGGTCCTATGGTCTTTCATTCCAGGGCTGAGAGGGAGTTCAGGTGGCCCCTTGGCTCTGTGTCCGTGTGTAACTGTGGCCGGGCGCGGTGGCTCACGCCTGTCATCCCAGCACTTTGGGTGGCCGAGGCGAGCGGGTCATGAGGTCAGGAGTTCGAGACCAGCCTGGCCAACATGGAGAAACCCCGTCTCCACTAAAAATACAAAATTAGCCGGGCGCGGTGGCTCACGCCTGTCATCTCAGCACTTTGGGTGGCCGAGGCGAGCGGGTCATGAGGTCAGGAGTTCGAGACCAGCCTGGACAACATGGAGAAACCCCATCTCCACTAAAAATACAAAATTAGCCGGGCACGGTGGCTCACGCCTGTCATCTCAGCACTTTGGGTGGCCGAGGCGAGCGGGTCATGAGGTCAGGAGTTCGAGACCAGCCTGGACAACATGGAGAAACCCCATCTCCACTAAAAATACAAAGTTAGCCCGGCACGGTGGCTCACGCCTGTTATCTCAGCACTTTGGGTGGCTGAGGCGAGCGGATCACGAGGTCAGGAGTTCGAGACCAGCCTGGCCAACATGGAGAAACCCCATCTCCACTAAAAATACAAAATTAGCCAGGCACGGTGGCTCACGCCTGTTATCTCAGCACTTTGGGTGGCTGAGGCGAGCGGATCACGAGGTCAGGAGTTCGAGACCAGCCTGGCCAACATGGAGAAACCCCATCTCCACTAAAAATACAAAATTAGCCGGGCGTGGTGGCTCACGCCTGTCATCCCAGCTACTTGGGAGACTGAGGCAGGAGAATTGCTTGAACCCGGGAGGTGGAGGTTGCAGTGAGCTGAGATCGTGCCACTGCACTCCAGCCTGGGCAACAAGAGTGTAACTCTGTCTCAAAAAAATTTAAAAAAAAAATGCAAAAAAAGAAATCAAACTATACATAATATTGCATACAGACAGTCCCCAGCTTCCAATGGTGCAATTCAGGATTTTTTAACTTTATGCTGGAGAGAAAGCAGTATGCATTCAACAGAAAGTGTACTTGAAGGCCGGACGTGATGGCTCACGCCTGTAATCCCAGCACTTTGGGAGGCCAAGGTGGGCCGATCACTTGAGGTCAGGAGTTTGAGACCAGCCTGGCCAACACGGTGAAACCCCGTCTCTACTAAAAATACAAAAAATTAGCCGGGTGTGGTGGCGGGCGCCTGTAGTCCCAGCTACTCGGGAGGCTGAGGCAGGAGAATGGTGTGAACCCGGGAGGCGGAGCTTGCAGTGAGCCGAGATCGCACCACTGCACTCCAGCCTGGGCGACAGAGCGAGACTCCGTCTCAAAAAATAAATAAATAAATAAAATAAAATAACAAAACAAAATAAAGTAGGTCAGAAAGGCAACTGGAGTCCATAGCCCACGTTCTGTAACCCAGTTCTGACTCTGCTGTGCGCCCCGTGGTTAGAAAATGGCAAGTCAACAGAAACGTTCTCAAACCAGAGACCAAGGCACATCCCGAGGCATCCGTCTCACTAACAACTGCGGGGACGTGGGATCTGGGGGACATCCTGTCTCTGCCACTCAGAGCGCTGCTGCGTGCAAACAGGTACAAATGCCAGCAACTCTTCGAGAGCTTCCCACGTCATCCACGGACGGGCACGACCTCTTCCTCACCACCAACACCCACCCTATCCCATCTACCATAGTGTGCTTGCCACAGCGAAGATGATTCCATAAAACACCACTTGTGCTCTGAAACCACAGGGACCCACGTCTGCCTGGACCCGGAAAAACGGTGCAGAATATAGCAGGTTTCTGGCCGGGCGCGTTGGCTTACGCCTGTCATCCCGGCATTTTGGGAGGCCGAGGCGGGTGGATCGCTTGAGGTCAGGAGGTCGAGACCAGCCTGGCCAACATTATAGGTGTGAGCCACCGCCCCCAGCCTGGGACCTTATTTGGAAATAGCGTAGAGATGCTGAAACCCCATCTCTACAAGGAATACAAAATATTAGCCGGGCGTGGTGGCGGGTGCCTGTAGTCCCAGCTACTCGGGAGGCTGAGGCAGGAGAATCGCTTGAACCCGGGAGGCGGAGGTTGCTGTGAGCAGAGATAACACCACTGCACTCCAGCCTGGGTGACAGAGCAAGACTCCATTTCAAAAAAAAAAAAAAAAAAAACAAAAGAAGAAAAGAAAAAAAAAAGAGAGAGTTTTTGTCACGGAAACGCCTGACAGTGCCTTGAAGCTGGGGATTAAGAGTGAATTGCATAGTTGGGATTCTGCAGCCAGAAAGTCATCGCGGAGTTAACGCAGTGCCTGGCCGAGGCTTCCTGAAAGCTGCTGGTCCCTGACCTCTGGGGCACGAACAAGACATCTGAAAATAACTGGGGTTCCGTGCTGCCAAAACGGCACCGGACGTCAGCTGTTCTCCCCGGAGGCATTCCTTCCACACACGGGTTCCTTTGGAGGACAAAGGGAGCAGATGCTGCCGGCCGAGCCTACGGCCTCTTCAGTCCTGGAGGGTGTGGGGGGCAGGAGGAGAGGGCTGCGGTGTCTGGGGCAGCCTCGTCCGGCCACTTCTCAGCAAGACGTCCCTCTGTGCTGTTGAACAACCATGTCTGGACTTTTTTTTTTTTTTTGAGACGGAGTCTCGCTCTGTCGCCCAGGCTGGAGTGCAGTGGCACGATCTCGGCTCACTGCACGCTCCGTCTCCCGGGTTCACGCCATTCTCCTGCCTCGTCCTCCCGAGTAGCTGGGACTACAGGCGCCCGCCACCATGCCCGGCTATTTTTTTTTTTTTGTATTTTTAGTAGAGACGGGGTTTCACCATGTTGGCCAGGATGGTCTCAAACTCCTGACCTCGTGATCCGCCCGCCTCGGCCTCACAAAGTGTGGGATGACAGGCATGAGCCACTGCGCCCGGCCTATTTATTTTATTTTATGTGAGACAGGGTCTTGCTCTGTTGCCCAGGCTGGAATGCAATGGTGTGATCTCGGCTCACTGCAGCCTTGACCTCCTGGGCTCAAGTGATCCTCCCACCTCAGCCTCCCGAGTAGCTAGGACTACAGGTGCACACCACCATGCTGGGCTAATTTTTTTTGGGGGGGGGGTAGAGATGGCATCTCACTACGTTGCCCAGACTAGTTTCAAACTCCTGGGATCAAGTAATCCGCCTGCCTCAGCCTCCCGAGTAGCTGGGACTACAGCATGGGCCACCATGCCCAGCTAATTTTGCTTTTTGGTAGAGATGGGGTCTTGCTATGTTGCCCAAGCTCATCTCAAATTCCTAGGCTCCAGTGATCCTCTCACCTCAGCCTCCCAAAGTACTGGGATTACAGGCAGGAGCCATCCGGCCCGGCTTTTTTTTTTTTTTTTTTTTTTTCAGATGGCATCTCGCTCTGTTGCCCAGGCTGGAGTGCAGTGGTGCAATCTCGGCTCATTGCAACCTCCGCCTCCTGGGTTCAAGTGGTTCTCCTGCCTCAGCCTCCTGAGTAGCTGGGATTACAGGTGCCCACCACCCCACCCAGCTAATTTTGTATTTTTAGTAGAGACGGGGTTTCACCATGTTGGTCAGGCTGGTCACGAACTCCTGACCTTGTGATCCGCCTGCCTCAGCCTCCCAAAGCCCAGCCCTGATTTTTGAATACTCTCTGTACTTCCCAAGTTTTCTCCAATCAGCAACTACTCCTTTTACAAAGAGGAAAAAAACAGTTTTCTGTACTACAGTGCTGTAAATCACTACCCCTGGCTATCAGAAATACGTCCTTCTGGCCGGGCGCAGTGGCTCACGCCTGTAAATCCCAGCACTTTAGGAGGCCGAGGTGGGCGGCTCACGAGGTCAGGAGATCGAGACCATCCTGGCTAACACGGTGAAACCCCGTCTCTACTAAAAATACAAAAAAATTAGCCGGGCGTGGTGGCGGGCGCCTGTAGTCCCAGCTACTCAGGCGGCTGAGGCAGGAGAATGGCATGAACCCGGGAGGTGGAGCTTGCAGTGAGCCGAGATCGCGCCACTGCACTCCAGCCTGGGTGACAGAGCGAGACTCTGTCTCAAAAAAAGAAAAAAAAAAAGAAATACATCCTTCTGTCATTCAGAAAAATGTGCATTTCGGCCGGGCACGGTAACTCACGCCTGTAATCCCAGCACTGTGGGAGACTGAGGCAGGCGGATCACGAGGTCAGGAGATCGAGACCATCCTGGCTAACATGGTGAAACCCTGTCTCTATTAAAAATACAAAAAATTAGCCGGGCGTGGTGGCGGGTGCCTGTAGTCCCAGCTACTAGGGAGGCTGAGGCAGGAGAATGGCGTGAACCCGGGAGGCGGAGCTTGCAGTGAGCTGAGATCACGACACTGCATTCCAGCCTGGGCGACAGAGTGACAGTCTGTCTCAAAAAAAAAAAGAAAGAAAGAAAGAAAGAAATACGTCCTTCTGTCATTAAGAAAAATGTGCATTTCACCAACTACACTCTGAGTCAAATGTAGGTCTTACGCAGAAAAAAAAAAACAAAGCTTTTACCGAAATGGGTACCCAGGCTCCATTCTCAATTTGCTTAAAATTTATGCTGAGCGAAATAAAAGAAGGCGTCACATCTGACATGCTAAGACTTTTTGCCTCATTTCAGATTAGGAGGAAAATCCACCCCATAGCAAAAGTCCGATATCTATCGTTCTAGTTAAAGAATCACCTAGAGGCCAGCGCGGTGGCTCACGCCTGCAACATCCCAGCACTTTGGGAGACTGAGACGGGTGGATCACCTGAGGTCAGGAGTTCGAGACCAGCCCGGCCAACATGGTGAAACCCTGTCTCTACTAAAACTACAAAAATTAGCTGGGCATGCTGGTGGGTGACTGTAATCCCAGCTACTCGGGAGGCTGAGGCAGGAGAGTCACTTGAACCTGGGAGGCGGAGCTTGCAGTGAGCCGAGATTCTGCCACTATAGCACAGGCGAGATAGCGAGACTCCATCTCAAAAAAATAAATAAATAAAATAAAATAAAAGTGAACTGTTTCACAGTAGCTGGATTTCGTAACGGCCCAAAAGCAGAAACCACTCAAGTGTCCACCAGTGGATGGGTGGATTAGCACAATGTGGTCCATCCACATGGTGGAATAGTATGCAGCCATGAAAAGGAACGAGGCTGTGACACAGGCTGCAATGTGGATGAGCCTTGAGGATGTCACACTCCGTGAGAGAAGCCAGACACAAAAGGCCACATAGAGTAAGATTCCATTTCTAGGAAAGGTCCAGAACAGGCAAATCCATGGAGGCAGAAAGTGGATGGGTGGTTGCCAGGGGATGGGGAGGGGGACGAATGACTGTTAATGGGGACAGGGTTTACTTTTGGGGTGAAGAAAATGCTCCAGACCTTTTGTTGTTGTTGGTTTGTTTGTTTATTTTTGAGACCGGGTCTCGCTCTGTGGCCCAGCCTGGAGCGCAGTGGCGTGATCTCGGCTCACTGCAACCTCCGCCTCCCAGGCTCAAGTGATTCTCCTGCCTCAGCCTCCCAAGTATCTGGGATTACAGGCACCAGCCACCAAACCCAGCTAACTTCTGTATTTTTAGTAGAGATGGGGTTTCGTCATGTTGGCCAGGCTGGTTTTGAACTCCTGACCTCAGGTGATCCGCCCGCCTCGGCCTCCCAAAGTGCTGGGATGACAGGCGTGAACCACCATGCCCAGCGCAAGTGTTCCGGAACTAGACAGAGGTGGTGGTACGCCATTGTGGATGTTTTAAATGCCCCTGTTCACTTTAAAACGGTTCCTTTTATGTTATGTGGAATGTATCTCAATTACAAAATTAAAAACAGAGGCCTGGCACGGTCACTCATGGTGGTCATCTCCGCACTTTGGGAGGCCGAGACCAGTAGATTGCTTGAGCTCAGGAGTTTGAGACCAGCCTGGACAACATGTCAAAACCCCGTCTCTACAAAAAAAATTAGCCAGGTGTGGTGGCAGGTGCCTGTGGTCCCAGCTAATTGGGAGGCTGAGGTGGGAGGATCGCTTGAGCCTGGGAGGCGGAGGTTGCAGTGAGCTGAGATCGCACCACTGCACTCCAACCTGGTGACAGAGTGAGATCCTAGCTCAAAAAAAAAATTGGCCGGGCGCGGTGGCTCACGCCTGTCATCCCAGCACTTCGTGAGGCTGAGGCGGGCGGATCACAAGGCTAGGAGATCGAGACCATCCTGACTAACACGGTGAAATCCCACCTCTACTAAAAATACAAAAAATTAGCCGGGCGTGGTGGTGGGCACCTGTGGTCCCAGCTACTCGGGAGGCTGAGGCAGGAGAATGGCGTGAACCCGGGAGGTGGAGCTTGCAGTGAGCCGAGATTGTGCCACTGCAGTCCGGCCTGGGCAAAAGAGCAAGACTGTCTCAAAAAAAAAAAAAAAATTAAAAATATAAATCTTTCAAAACCCTAAACAACTGTCTACAGTGTGATGTTCTGGGTCGTGGATAAGAGGAAAGTACTTATTAAAAGGATTCAAGGCTGCGTGCGGTAGCTCACGCCTGTAATCCCAGCACTTTGGGAGGTCGAGGCAGGAGGATTGCTTGAGGCCAAGAGTTTGAGACCAGCCTGGGCAACATAGTCAGACCCCATCTCTAGAAAAAAATAAAAAAATTAGGCGGGCATGGCGGTGCATGCCTGCAGTCTCAGCTACTCGGGAGGCTGAGGGTGGAGGATCACTTGAGCCTAGGAGGTCAAGACAGCAGCTGTGATCGTACAACCGCACTCCAGCCTGGGTAACGGAGTGAGACCCTGTCTCGGAAGGAAGAGAGAAAGAGAGAGGAAGGAAGAGAGAAAGAGAGAGGAAGAAAGAGAGAAAGAGAGAGGAAGAAAGAGAGAGAAAAAGAAATCTCAGCTCCAAGTATTACCAAGAAAAATAAGAGATGACACATAGGAAAACCTGTTTCTAATGAGCTCAAGCACGGGCCAAGTTCAATCAGAGATATGCATGACATTTATTATTATCATGAACAACACCAAAATAGATGCAGTTAGGGGTGATACAAAATGCTGGCCAGGCGCGGTGACTCACATCTGTAATCCCAGCACTTTTCGGAGGCCGAGACGGGCAGATCTCCTGAGGTCGGGAGTTCGAGACCAGCCTGGCCAACGCGGCAAAACCCAGTCTCTACTAAAAATATAAAAGGTAGCCGGGCGTGGTGGCAGGTGCCTGTAATCCCAGCTACTTGGGAGGCTGAGGCAGGAGAATCGCTTGAACCCGGGAGGCGGCTCCAACCTGGGCGACAAGAGCAAAAACTACGTCTCAAAAAAAAAAAAATAGAGAGAAAAGAAAATGCCATCTGCGTGCTCTTTGCAAACATTTCCCCATCTGCGTGCTCTTTGCAAACATTTCCTCCCGAAAGTCTCCCGGAATGATAAAAGCAACCACACAGCCTGGCCACCTAGAATCTGGGTCCGCTTGTTCCAGGCTCAGAATCTTTTTCCTCTCAGCCAGTCTCATCTTCCGGGCTGTCAACAGCGTGTGCAGGGCCGCAGGATTTATAGGTAATGACATGCTTCTAATTCTCCATTACCTCCAAAGATTTCATCTTCCCCTTTTCTAAATCCTTCTTAGGAGATACTTGTCAGGTTCATCTGGCCCAGCAGCTTCTGACAAGGGGACCCCGCTCATCCCCGTCATCTCTGTGACTTCATGTAAATAGCGGCACGTGGCGGCCGCCTTTGGCCCTCGGCCCCGAATCCATTGCGGAGTCTCACTTCCATTAATTCTTAATTTGTGACCACGCTTCCTTTTCTGTTCTGTGTTTAAATGGAGATGTGATTAGTAAGGTAATAGGAGAAAGCCGGGGTCCTCACGATGCAACGTGCATTTCTGCGCCTTATAGAAAATTGGATAGGCGTCATTATTTCTTCCAGTAGCAGAGTGCATTCTGACATCTGATTGCTTGAACTGTGATATTTCCATACGCCATCCATCACCCCGGCCACGGCGGCACGCTGAATATTCAGATTAAATTGGAACTTTTTCCCTATGAATAAGGGATTTCATTCTATCCTATAAGATACACTGTCTCCGGGGAGAGGAAATTGAGTTGAAGGTTGCTGAAAATCGTATTATCCAAATACAGAGTTCTTTTCCTTATCATCAAAACCTGAAACACAGCCGTGGGGAACCGAGAGGTCAGGAGAGAATTCAATTAGAGAGGAAAATGGAAAAGGGAGCATTTTTCCACTTACGTTTTATTTTGCCAAGCAGGTGGCAGCGGGCGCCGCTCGGGACAAAAGGGGCGATGTGTGAAGGGTTTTTGGTTTCTGGAAGATGGATGAGGACACAGCCTCAAGGAGTTATGAAGAGGCAGGAAAACCTCTACAGCAAATGTTCCATCCTCTCCTTTGCCGGTTTTGGACGAGGTATCTGTGAGAGTTCCTGGCCTCTTACTGCCACAGTTACGGTGGTTTCTTTTTTTGGGAGGGAGTCTCGCTCTGTCACCCAGGCTGGAGTACAGCAGCGCGATCTCGGCTCACTGCAACCTCCGCCTCCACCGGGTTCAAGCGATTCTCCTGCCTCAGCCTCCCCAGTAGCTGGGATGACAGGTGCACGCCACCACATCTGGCTAATTTTTGGATTTTTAGTACAGATGGGGCTTCACCATATTGGCCAGGCTGGTCTCGAACTCCTGACCTTGTGATCCGCCCACCTCGGCCTCCCAAAGTGCTGGGATTATAGGAGTGAGCCACCACTCCCGGCCCACGGTTAGAGTCTAAACTGTGCACGCTGCCTGGAGTCCCCACCTCTCCTCACCTGAAATATGCACTCGGAAATGTGTTTCCAAAACCTGCAGAATGCAGACCCACACTACTTTCCTATTTATTTATTCATTTTGAGACAGAGTCTCGCTCTGTCGCCAGGCTGGAGTACAGGGGCATGATCTCTGTTCACTGCAAGCTCCGCCTCCCGGGTTCAAGTGATTCTCCTGCCTCAGCCTCCCGAGTTGCTAGGGTTACAGGTGCCCGCCACCACGCCCAGCTAATATTTGTATTTTTAGTAGAGACGGGGTTTCACCACGTTGGCCAGGCTGGTTTCGATCTCTTGACCTCGTGATCCACCCCTGTCGGCCTCCCAAAGTGCTGGGATGACACTGTGCTCGGCTGGGTTTTTTGTTTTTTTTTGTTTGTTTGTTTTGTTTGTTTGTTTTAAGTCATCGTGCGGAATGCAAGCGGCAGATATAAACTTGATCCCTCTTTGACCTCTCACTGCACGCACCTAGCTGGGAGCTTTGGGTCGGCGCAGGACCAGGGAGATCCTACTTGCCAGGTGCTTCCTCTGAGGCATCTCCAGGTCTGGAGCTTTAGTGTTCGATCAACCACCCAGGTCTGCGGGGCGAAGGCCGACTGAGATCCAGAGCATGTCATACAGTGGGTGAGTTTGCATTTCTGAGCAGCTGCAGGTGGGGCAGAGGCTGCAGAGGCTGTGGCCACACAGGAGACCCGGGCTCAGGTGGATGAAGGAAGGAGCTTCTCTCCCTCTACAACCGTTGTGGCTCCCTCCTTCCTCACCTCCCTGGGAAGCGCTGACCCAGCTCTTTGTTCCTGGACCTACATCCCACAGAGGAGCAGAGTCTTCCGGAATCTTCCTCGCTACTCTTCCCTCCCCATTCTCGCTTTTTATTTTATTTTTATTTTTATTTTTTCGAGAGGGAGTCTCGCTCTGCTGTCCAGGCTGGAGTGCAATGCTGTGATCTCGGCTCACTGCAACGTCTGTCTCCTGGGTTCAAGTGATTCTTCTGCCTCAGTCTCCCAAGTAGCTGGGATTACAGGCACCCGCCATCATGCCCAGCTAATTTTTCTATTTTTGTAAAGACGGGGTTTCACCATGTTGGCCAGGCTGGTCTCGAACTCCTGACCTCAGGTGATCTGCCTGCCTCAGCTTCCCAAAGTGCTGGGATGACAGGTGTGAGCCACCACGTCTGGCTAATTTTTGTATTTTTGTAGAGACGGGGTTTCAGCATGTTGGTCAGGCTGGTCTCGAACTCCTGACCTCAGGTGATCCTCCCACCTCAGCTTCCCAAAGTGCTGGGATAACAGGTGTGAGCCACGATATCTGGCTGCTTTTTAAAATTTAATGCTTTTAGGGACAGAGTCTTTCATTCCTGCCTCGGCTGGAGAGCGGTGGTGAGATCTCGGCTCACTGAAGCCTCAACCTCCCAGGCTCAAACGATCCTCCTACCTCAGCCTCCCGAGTAGCTGGGACCACAGGCACACGCCAGGATGCTCAGCTAATTTTTAAATATTCTCTAGAGATGGGGCTCGCCATGTTGCCAAGGCTGGTCTTGACCTCCTGGGCTTAAACAATCCTCCTGCCTCGGCCTCCCAAAGTGCTGGGATGACAGGTGTGAGCCACCATGCCTGGCTAATTTTTGTATTTTTGTAGAGACGGGGTTTCACCATGTTGGCCAGGCTGGTCTCGAACTCCTGACCTCAGGTGATCCACCACCTCGGCCTCCCAAAGTGCTGGGATGACAGGTGTGAGCCACCGTGCCTGGCTAATTTTTGTATTTTTGTAGAGACGGGGGTTTCACCATGTTGGCCAGGCTGGTCTTGAACCCCTGACCTCAGGTGATCCACCGTCTCGGCCTCCCAAAGTGCTGGGATGACAGGCATGAGCCACTGCAATCTCCCGGCCTGCCCTCACCTTTCTCTCCCCAGGACAATTCTGGTGGCCACCCACCACCCCTGCAAGACGGACAGACCCGAATGGGCAGGGCGTCCATCCGGCTGTGGAGCAGCTTGGATAATTGCAGCTGGCCACATCCCAGCAAACTCTGCAACACCTCAGGCCCTGCCAGCCTTGGGGGCCCGACAGCACCTCTTTGTTCTCCCAGAGCAAAGCCTGCACGGAGTGGGCCCCCGGGCCCCAGCGCAGACTGAAGGCGCATTCTGTTTCTGCCCTGAGTTGATTTCTGTCCTGTTGGCCCTGGGCCTCACTACACTGTGCCCCAGTAACCTGGCAGAGAAAGGCCTCTTGTGCAGGCATTCAAAGGAAACCCTTTCCCCTCAAAACTGCAGTGATGCTTCCAACAGTGACTCGCAGCTCATCGAAACACCCAGAATGAAAAGCACGTTTGTTCCTTGAAAAGACGTCTGTGTCCGATACATACTCAAACAGAGAACTGTATTAATATATTCACTTCCCTCCAGAAATCACAGCATCGCACACACACACAAACGGTTGCTTCCCAATTAGGAAAAATAACTTCACAGAATTCCTGCGTGATGGCGCTCTTCTGACCAAGTACACTCGGATTTTTATATCCAATCACGAAACACAAACTGAAATTCAAATCATTATGTACACAACACAAAACTATCGTTTATGAGTGATTTAAATCGGGTGCGGTGGCTCACGCCTGTAATCCCAACGCTTTGGGAGGCAGAGACAGAGGCAAAGGCAGGAAGATTGCTTGAGGCCAGGAGTGTGAGACCAGCAACACCTCGTCTCTATAAACAATAAAATTAAAAATGAGCCAGGCATGGTGGCGCATGCCTGTTGTCCCAGCTGCTTGGAAGGCTGAGGTGGGAGGATCGCTTGAGCCAGGAGATCAAGGCTGCACTCAGCTAAGATCGCAGCCTGGGTGACGGAGCAAAACCCTGTCTCATACGAACAAAAAGAGTTATTTAGGCCGGGCGTGGTAGCTCACGCCTGTAATCCCAGCACTTTGGGAGGCCGAGGCGGGTGGATCACTTGAGGTCAGGAGTTCGAGACCATCCTGGCTAATACGGTGAAACCCTGTCTCTACCAAAAATACAAAAATTAGCCAGGCGTGGTGGCGGGCGCCTGTAATCCCAGCTACTCGGGAGGCTGAGGCAGGAGGATCCCTTGAACCCGGGAGGCGGAGGTTACAGTGAGCTGAGATCTTGCCATCGCACTCCAGCCTGGGCGACAGAGCGAGACTCCAACTCAAAAAAAAAATAAAACTAAAAAAAGAGTTATTTTTTTTTTTTTTGAGACAAAGTCTGGCTCTGTCGCCCAGGCTGGAGTGCAATGGTGTGATCTCAGCTCACTGCAACCTCCACCTCCTGGGTTCAAGCAATTCTCCCGCCACAGCCTCCCGAGTAGCTGGGACTACAGGCACACGCTACTATGCCCGGCTAATTTTTCTATTTTTAGTAGAGATGGTGGGGGCGGTTTCACTATGCTGGCCAGGCTGGTCTCGAACTCCTGACTTCGTGATCTGCCCGCTTCAGCCTCCCAAAGTGCCGGGATTACAGACTTGAGCCACCGCGCCCGGCCAAGGGTTACTTATTGAGTCTGGCTCGATTTATGCAGCTCAGAAGTAGGAGAACCTGGCTCATAAAAGACCTTGAAATTACTCTCTAACAGGGTGCAACACCAGGTGAAACCCTATTTTGATAAAAAATGAATAAAAAGCGGGGCAAGATGTAAAGGAAACAGGTGCATGTGTGCCAGACAGATGATAATGCAGTGTTTTTATGGATACTGTTAAAAGCAGAAACAAAAACGACCATTGGGTAAAGTTATTTAACTAATGTCACCTCCCTGGACGTGGATGATTTTTGCAATTTTCAACGCACTTCACGCTCATCCCTGAACACCAACGTTTAAAGGGGTCCAACTCCTCCAACCTGTCTCTACTGTTTGATAAGCAAAGCTAAAGTAAACGGGGCCCTTTGGGTCCCAGGTAGCCCGCTGTTATTGAAAAGTTTGATCTTTTCCTCGCGCGCTCCCGTAGGACGCACGCTCGCTCCCGAGCTCGGCGGGCGCGCACCCCGCATGCTCGCTCGTTCCCGGTGCCTCCCACTGCGCAGGCGCACTCCCGTCCTCCAGCCCCACCCGCTCACACACCTCCCAGCCTCTGGCTTGCGCCCCGCGGGCAGCCATTGCGCACGCTCACCCGACCGGCCTCCCGAACTCCGCTCCTCCACCGCTATGCACGGCGCATGCTCCATGCGGAGGTTCCACCCTCTCCTCGCTCTGGCAGGCACGCATTGCGCATGCTCGCATTTCCGCAGCTCTAGGACTGCCACGCCGCCATGGGCCGCGCCTCTAAAAATCCTAAACGCAGAAAGAGCTCGGGCGGTACGGCCGCCACAGCCCCTCCCTCGTCCTCACCGCAGCCGCTCGGCCCCACCAAAGCCTCCTGCAAAAGCTCCGAGGGCCGCGGGGCGCGCGTGGCTAGCGGCGGCGTCGCCTCGTGATGACATCGTCGCGATGACGCGACGCAGTGACGTGAACGCGGGCGCCCTTGTTTGGGAGCGCGGCCGGCGCGCCCGTTTTGAAGCTGCCCTGAGCAGCGCGGGCCGGACCGCGCCCCCTCCTCGGTCCCCGCGCCCCGCGAGTCCGCGCAGTTCCCGAGGCGCGGGCCCTGTTCCCTGCGCCGCGCCCCCTCAGCGGGCCGTGCTCGCATCACCGAGGTCGGTCCGGGGCGGACCGAAGCCCCCGGGGCGGGGCGGGGCGCGGGCGTCCGGGGGCGCCGCGGGCCCAGCCCCCGCCATGCCGCCCGGCAAAGTGCTGCAGCCGGTCCTGAAGATGAAGGTGGACGAGCTGTTCCTGTACTGGCTCAGCGAGGCCAGCACGCAGCGGATGCTGCAGGACTGCCTGCGCCGGATCAAGGCGCCCGGGCGGGACCAGCCGACCCCGGGGGACGGGGAGCAGCCCGGGGCCTGGCCCACAGCCCCGCTCGCCGCCCCCCGGCCCAGCGGGCTCGAACCCCCGGGAACCCCCGGGCCGGGCCCTGCGCTGCCCCTGGGCGCCGCCTCCAGCCCCAGGAACGCGCCCCACGTTCGAGGCACCCGTAGATCCGCAGGGACGAGAGTAGTAAGTTACTCTTCCTTCTGCTAACAACTGCGCAGGTGGCTCTGGTCGCATAGTGGGCGTGTGGCTGCGCGATGGAGGCTGGTGGGCGAGCGTCAGACCCCAAAACGGTTTCATATTGAGTCTGTTCCCCGCCCCGACCCCCCCCACCACACACATACAGACAAGAAAGTCCCACGTACTGAACATTCCGTCATTGACAGTTGTTAACCTAAAAATCACACAATTTATAAAGGTAGAAAGGCTTCCTATTTTATTTTATTTTATTATTTTAATTTGTTTTAATTTTGAGACAGAGTTTTGCTCTGTTGCCCAGGCTGGAGTACGATGGCGCGATCTTGGCTCACTGCAACCTCTGCCTCCCAGGTTCAAGCGATTCTCCTGCCTCAGGCTCCCGAGGAGCTGGGACTTACAGGCACGTGCCACCACGCCTGGCTGATGTTGTATTTTTAGTAGAGACTGGGTTTCCCCCATGTGGGCCAGGCTGGTCTCGAACTCCTGACCTCAAGTGATCCTCCCGCCTTGGCCTCCCAAAGTGCTGGGATTTCAGACGTGAGTCACTGCGCCTGGTCCGTTTTTTATTTATTTTACAATTCTTTGGAGACAGGGTCTTGCTCTGTCTCCTAGGCTGGAGTGCAGTGGCGCAAACACAGTTGGACTTCCTGCCTCAGCCTCCCCAGTAGCTGGGATTACAGGCGTGCACCATCACGCCAGGCTAATTTTTGTTTATTTATTTATTTATTTATTTTTGCAGAGACGAGGTCTTGCTATGTTACCTAGAGTGCTCTGGAATTCCTGGGTCCAAGCAATCCTCCCGCTTCGGCCTCCCAAAATCCCACTGTATTTCTTAGAAGAAACGCCATTTATTTCATAGAAGGTGATTATACACCGCAGGTGAGAAGCGCAGCCTCTGGCTAATGTACCTGTAATCTCAGCTACCCGGGAGGCTGAGGCAGGAGAATCACTGGAACCCAGGAGGCAGAGGCTGCACTCCAGCCTGGGCACCAGAGCAAGACTCCATCTCAAAAAAAAAAAAAAAAAAAAAAAAAAGAAAACTAAAAACAAGCACTTGGAGGGAAGAAAAGATGAGACGGGAATTTATGCTGAGTGGGTTGGCCAAGTGTATATATTCAAGAAGTTATAGGAAGAGCTATGGATATTCACCAAGGGTGTCCTGACGCATGGGTATTGAACAAACATGCATGTTACCTACTCCCGAGTTCACCTTGGAGCGGAGACTTAACATTTAAATGCATTATGGTTAGGCCCCCTAGGTCAAAAGGTGAAGCAACTCTGCAGCCTCTGTCAACCGGCCAGAACCAGTCCGTGGTGAGTAGTTACCAGGATAAAGTGATTGCAATCAGTTTTTTTTTTTTTTTTTTTTTTTTGAGACAGATTCTCACTCTCACCCAGGCTGAGATGCAATGGTGCAATCTCAGCTCACTGCAACCTCCGCCTCCCGGGTTCAAGCGATTCTCCTCCCTCAGCCTCCCGAGTAGCTGTGATTACAGGCGCACACCACCACCCCCGGCTAATTTTTGTATTTTTAGTAGAGGCAGGCTTTCACCTTGTTGGCTAGACTGGTCTCAAACTCCTGACCTCAGGTGATCCACCCGCCTCAGCCTCTCAAAGTGCTGGGATGACAGGCGTGAGCCACCACACCTGGCCTGGAATCAGTCTTTTCCCAGTCAAAGCTGTAGTTACGGCTGGTGGAACAGAGGGGTCTGTTCATCAGGATCTGACAGGAAGCTGCAGGTGTTTTAATATTGTTTATATTGGTCAGGCATGGTGACTCACGCCTGTGATTCCAGCATTTGGGAGTTGGAGGCAGGCAGATCACTTGAGTTCAGGAGTTCGAGACCAGCCTGGGCAACATGGCGAAACCCCATCTCTGCTAAAAATACACAAATTAGCCAGGCGTGGTGGCGCACCTGAAGTCTCAGCTACTCAGGAGGCTGAGGCAGGAGAAATGCTTGAAGCTGGGAGTCGGAGATTACTGTGAGCTGAGATTGCACCACTGCTCACCAGCCTGAGCAACAGAGGAAGGCCCTGTCTCAAAAAAAAAAAAAAAGTATATATATATATATAGAGAGAGAGAGAGAGAGAGAGTCTTCTTGCGTGCGCGAGCTTGAGGCCAAGATAAGCAATAGAGAAAAAGAAAAACATCCTTTATTTACTTCTTGAATCTCAAAAACGAGTTTCTGCAGAGGTCTCTAGTGAATAACCTAAAAGGACATTTAGCTGCTGGAGAAAAAGAAATGCTTTGGCAGTTGGAACTGTAGTTTATTCTTTAAGTGTAGGCGGTGTGTGACTTAACCCTCACCTCAGGTGGCCCTTGGTCTTGTTTGCCACAGAGTCTGTTCTGTCAGTCTTACGATGTTGATTTTAACCTTTTTGCTGGTTGGTTGTGTTTAAACTGCCAAAGCAGGAGGGGTATAATAAGGTGTGTCCAAACTCCCATCCAGTCATGACTGGGAACTTAGTTGTTTTTTTGTTTTTTTGGTTTTTTTTTTTTTTTTTTTTTTTTTTTTTTGAGACGGAGTCTCGCTCTGTCCCCCAGGCTGGAGTGCAGTGGCGCGATCTCGGCTCACTGCAAGCTCCGCCTCCCGGGTTCACGCCATTCTCCTGCCTCAGCCTCCCAAGTAGCTGGGACTACAGGCGCCCGCCACCACGCCCGGCTAATTTTTTTGTATTTTTAGTAGAGACGGGGTTTCACCGTGTTAGCCGGGATGGTCTTGATCTCCTGACCTCGTGATCCGCCCGCCTCGGCCTCCCAAAGTTTTGGGATTACAGGTGTGAGCCACCGTGCCCGCCGACAGCCGTGTATTTTTAAAAATGCTTTCTGTCGTTTTATACTATGCAGTTTAAAGCGATAAAACATTGCTTCCAGATGTTATAGAAACACGTATGGCTGGTGCGTCTGGTGTCCCGAGAATACTACGGAAGCCTGAAATATTCAGAATGTTCCGTCGGAACTTGTTTATACCATTTGAAAATTTTCAGCTGAACACCAGCTTTCCATCAGCAGCACTAATAAGCATGTCACAAAGTGATATTTACGTAGCACCACAGTTTTCCAGCCAAAATGGACCAGCCTCTCTACTTGCTGAGTGAGAGGTGGGTGGCAATCTGAGGTGAGCTCCTTGCGTTCTAAATTACCGGTGGTTGTCCGATGTCTTCTGATGGATCTAGAACATTTTCCAAAAGTACGTGTCGATGAAAATGTGAACTAGAGCTAGAGGCAGCTTGGAGACCGTCTGGCTCAGGCCCTCCAGATCCCGATCCAGGAGGGGACTCAGGGCCCCAGGACGCATCTCTTGAGCTCCGGCCCAGTGCACTTTCCCAGTGAGCTGCAAAACCTGAAGCACCTTAGGAACTCTTGCCCAAATCCCTCATTTACTGAGGAGGTTGAGAGGAGGGCCAGGACTCAAGAAGCATGTGCTAGTAATGATGGTTCCCCTCCATGACTTGCTTTCTCAGTGGGATCGCTAATGAGCTGCCATTTTGTCCTTAAACGTGTTGAATGACAGCCAGACGCTAAGGTAAATGCTTGAATTGTGTGACTTTGCAAGAATTCTCCTAGGGCTGGGACTATTGTGACTTTGCATGAATTCTCCTAGGGCTGGGAATATTGACGGAAGGTCAGGTCTGTGCAAACGAGGCCATTTGGGTGCATGTGAGAGGATGATATATTCTGTAAATCAGGCAAGAAGCCTCTAACAAGTGGAAATTAAGTTCCAAAGGTGTTCAAAGCAGGGAGACATCATTTCTCTCCTGGAGAAAGTTTTGAGGAGGAAGTGAGTAGTGGAACTTGAGAAATGCACTGAGTTTATTGGGTATAGGGGGCAGGACCAAGGGAGGCGGTGAAAATGAGACCAGGCTCAGTCGCTCACACCTGAATTCCTAGCACTTTGGGAGGCTGAGGTGGACGGATCACCTGAGGTCAGGAGTTCGAGATCAACCTGGCCAACATGGTGAAACCCTGTCTCTACTAAAAATACAAAAATTAGCTGGGTGTGGTGGTGGGCACCTGTAATCCCAGCTACTCTGGAGGCTGAGGCAGGAGAATCACTTGAACCTGGGAGGCGGAGATTGCAGTGAGCTGAAATTGTGCCACTGCACTCCAGCCTGGGTGACAAGAGTGAGACACTCTGTCTCAAAAAAAAAAAAAAAAGAAAAAAAAAGATGAGATGTTCAGGTCACGTTGAGGGACTGGAGTGGTCTGACCGGAGAAGCAGAAGGAAGGATGCGTGTGGACCGTGGGCATGGCGGCCAGGGTGTGCAGGGTGCAGGATTCTGCACTTAGGAGATGGCAAGAATTTTCAAAAAGCAGTGACTGACCTTGTTTGGGACTAAAAGTTTACCTTAAACATGTCTACGTGTTTGGAACCTATGGCTTACTTCAGCTGAATCTCAAGAAGTGAATAACTTAGAAAGATGTGTCTGTTCATTGGGACAAAAAAGATGAGCTTGGGCTGGGCACGGTGGCTCATGCCTGTGATCCCAGCACTTTGGGAGGCCGAGGCGGGCGGATCACAAGGTCAGGAGATAGAGACCATCTTGGCTAACACAGTGAAACCCTGTCTCTACTAAAGATACAGAAAATTAGCCGGGCGTGGTGGCGGGTGCCTGTAGTCCCAGCTACTCCGGAGGCTGAGGCAGGAGAATGGCATGAACCTGGGTGGCAGAGCTTGCAGTGAGCTGAGATCGCGCCACTGCACTCCAGCCTGGGTGACAGAGCAAGACTCTGTCTCAAAAAAAAAAAAAAAAAAAAAAAGATGAGCTTGTTCCTGTCCATCCCATATACAGAATACGCGAGGCCACGTTAACAGTGAAGGATGCAGTTCCATGCTACAAACTCTGGCTGGGGAGGGGCGATGCTGGGGTCAGAGGAAGAGATTTTCATAAATAAAGCAGCTTTTTCTCACCCACACATGTACAGAATGGAGTATGAGCTGTCAGGAGGGTTCACGCTAGGTCCATTGAACTCCCCAGCCAAGGGTGAAAGGAACGGCATTGTTTTACGTTACCTACGCCTTCATCGTTACTGAGCAGAGAGATTGCATTCTGTGTTTGAAAGGGGTGCTTGCAGTGGCTCCTTCCCGTCTTTGGGGAAGAGAAACTGGTACAAATTAGAAAATGTGAGCATTGGCCGGGTGCAGTGGCTCAATCCCAGCACTTTGGGAGGCCAAGGAGGGAGGATCCCTTGAGGCCAGGAGTTTGAGCCCAGCCTGGGCAACATAGCGAGACTCCCCCATCTCTGTAAAATAGTAAAATCAGCCAGGCATGGTGGTTCATGCCTGAAGTCTCAGCTGCTTGTGAGGCTGAGGCAGGAAGATCCCAGGAGTTCGAGGCTGCAGTGAGCTATGTTTGTGCCAGTGCACTCCCGCCGGGGCAACAAAGTGAGACTCTGTCTCTAAAAAAAAAAAAAAGAAAGAAAACGCCAGTATCGATGGGCTGATGCTGCAAGCCAGGGTGCTTCTGCTAGGGGGGACCCTAAATGCATCTTTAAAGTAAGTTCTTACAAGGGGAATTAAGAACCTCATGTGGATGAGCTGCTTTTTTTTTTTTTTTTTTTTTTTTTGAGATGGAGTTTCACTCTTGTTGCCCAGGCTGCAGTGCAATGACGCAATTTCGGCTCACTACAACCTCCACCTCCTGCAGTTCAAGTGAGTCTCCTGCCTCAGCCTCCCGAGTAGCTGGGATTACAGGCACCCGCCACCACGCCCGGCTAGTTTTGTATTTTTAGTAGAGATGGGGTTTCACTATGTTGGTCAGGCTGGTCTTGAACTCCTGACCTCAGGTGATCCACCCGCCCCAGCCTCCCAGAGTGCTGGGATGACAGACGAGGGCAACCACACCCGGCCAGTACTGCACGATTTTGATTGCATTTCCCTGCGGCCTGGTGACGCCGAGGAATTTTCAGGTGCTTATTTGCCATTCATGTGGTTCCCACTGTCGAGCGTCTGTTCAGGTCGTGTGTTTGCTTTTTAAATTGGGTTATGTTATCACTGAGTTGCGAGAGCTCTTTACATACAACTGTTGGCAAGTCCTTGGTAAGACAATGTGGTGTGTGCATATGTCTCTTGAGTCTGGCTTGCTTTTTGTTTTCTTCAGTGTCTCAAAGAGCAAAAGTGTTTAGTTTTTCAACTTTTTTCTTTTATGACTCTTATTTTTTGTGTCTTATTACAAAATGTTTGCATACCACAAGGTGTCAAATATTTTCTCCTATTTATCTTGAGAAAGCAGTGTGGTTTTAGGTTTGCGTTTCGGCCTGTGATCCAGTTCAGGTCAGTTTTTCTGCGTGGTATGAGGTGAGGTATCTGGATGACCCCAGCACCGTATATTGAACAGTCTTTTCTCCCCCCGTGGAATTGTGTTGTTGAAAGTCAGTTGAGTACGTACGTCTGTTTTATTATTATTTCCATCCCATTGCTGTATGTGCATCCCCTCACCTTCATGGCACTTTCCAGATTAGTGTAACTTTCTAGCAAATTTTGAAAGCAGATACTGTGAGTCCAAGCCTGTTCTTTAAAAATTGCTTTCCAGCAAGAAAAGCCTGTTGGAATTTTGATTGGGATTGCTTTGAATCTGTGGATCAATTTAGGATAATTGATACCTTAACAGTATTTTCCAATCCACAAACAAAGGACTTTCCATTCATTTAGGTTTTGTTCAGCAACGTTGTGTACTTCCCCGGGTACACCTCTTGCACCTCCTTGATTAAGTTTCTATCTGTTTATTTAGTTCTTCTCTAATTTCTGGAAGCTACTCAGTTTTGGTGTCCACCTAACCTGTGATTTTTATCAGACCGGGTGCCAGCATTCTAGAACATTAGAACAGGGTATTTGGAGATAAACACGGGCGTGCGTGTGCATCACACACACAGGTGCATACACACAAACACACAGGTGCATACACACACACAGGTGCATATGCACAAACACAGGTGCATACACACATAGGTGCATACACACATAGGTGCATACACAGGTACATACACACATAGGTGCATACACACAGGTGCATAACAGGTGCATACACACGCATACACACATACATAGGTCCATACACACAGATACATACACACAGGTGCATACACATACATAGGTCCATACACACACACACACATAGGTGCATACACACAGGTGCATACACAGGTGCATACACACGCATACACACATACATAGGTCCATACACACAGGTACATGCACACATAGGTGCATACACACACATAGGTGCATACACACAGGTGCACACACAGGTGCATACACACACACGTAGGTGCATACACACACACAGGTGCATACACACAAACACACAGGTGCATACACACACACAGGTGCATGTACATACAGGTGTGGTTATCTTAACGTTTCATTAGAAGTTCTTAACAAACATGTTGTAAGACAAAAGCACCTAGAACCCTCAGGGCAGGAGCTCAGGGTTTCTGAAGGTTTCGTGCGGGAGCCTTGAGCTTGCCCAGGGACTGTAGCTTTTGTACAGGTGCGTGCCTGTCTGCGTTCAGTTCTCACTGCCTTCGTAACAACGACCTATTCACGTTTTCATAGTGGGCACCGATGAGAGTCTCGTTGTGAGGAGGAAGGAAGGTGTCGAAAACCCTTCTTGCAACCTCCGAGAATCTGCAACCATGGAAACTGTGTAAAGAGCTTCATCCCTCCCTCCCCTTCTGTTGACAGAGAGAACCATGCCGTTTCCTGAGATGAGGTGGACGGGTTTTGAATCCGCTGGAGCCTGTCCTCTCAGGGCCTTTGAAACAGGGAGGAAGCCGTGCTCTGCAGACGGCACCTGCAGGGTGAGGACAGGATTCTGGGCCATCTTCCTGTCTCATAGGCTTGCCTGTTACTAGCTATGCTTTTAGCTTTGGATGTTCAGAAAAACTTTTTCTCACAAAGGGCAGGTCGCCTTCGTAAGCCTTTCAAATCTGGGATTTCAGAAAAGCCATTATGTTTGCTCATGGAAGACACATTTTTATCCTAAAACAAGCCGTCTGAACAAATGTATGTTTAGTGAGAATGAAAAGTGAAGAGATTTTTATGAAAATTTTGCATAAAGGTCTTCTGGGCATTTTAGGAGCCTTTAGAGGTTGATGGTAAGATTGTGTCCCGACAGCAGAGGGACGGTGGAGATTCGGGTGCCGTGAGGGGCTTCATCGGCCCAGATGGCAATGTTGTCTCTTCAGAGTAGGAATTTGGGGGGAACAGGCTGAAAACAGGCCTCGCAGATTCCGTGCTGGCCTGTGGTGCAAAAACAATGCTATGACGGCCCCGTCCCTGTACACAGTAGTGTATAGACAGCCCTGTGGTGGTCCTGTCAAGTGTGGACGGCCCGTCCCTGTACACAGTAGTGTATAGACAGCCCCATGGCGGCCCCACTGTAGACGGCCCGTCCCTGCATACAGTAGTGTATAGACAGCCCCATGGTGGCCCCACTGGGTGTGGATGGCCCGTCCCTGTACACAGTAGTGTATAGACAGCCCCACGGCGGACCCACTGGGTGTGGACGGCCCGTCCCTGCATACAGTAGTGTATAGACAGCCCCATGGTGGCCCCACTGGGTGTGGACGGCCCGTCCCTGTACACAGTAGTGTATAGACAGCCCCATGGTGGCCCCACTGGGTGTGGACGGCCCGTCCCTGTACACAGTAGTGTATAGACAGCCCCATGGCGGCCCCACTGGGTGTGGACGGCCCGTCCCTGCATACAGTAGTGTATAGACAGCCCCATGGCGGCCCCACTGTAGACGGCCCGTCCCTGTACACAGTAGTGTATAGACAGCCCCATGGTGGCCCCACTGGGTGTGGACGGCCCGTCCCTGTACACAGTAGTGTATAGACAGCCCCATGGCGGCCCCACTGTGGACGGCCCGTCCCTGTACACAGTAGTGTATAGACAGCCCCATGGTGGCCCCACTGGGTGTGGACGGCCCGTCCCTGTACACAGTAGTGTATAGACAGCCCCATGGCGGCCCCACTGTGGACGGCCCGTCCCTGCATACAGTAGTGTATAGACAGCCCCATGGCGGCCCCACTGGGTGTGGACGGCCCGTCCCTGTACACAGTAGTGTATAGACAGCCCCATGGCGGCCCCACTGTGGACGGCCCGTCCCTGCATACAGTAGTGTATAGACAGCCCCATGGTGGCCCCACTGGGTGTGGACGGCCCGTCCCTGTACACAGTAGTGTATAGACAGCCCCATGGCGGCCCCACTGTGGACGGCCCGTCCCTGCATACAGTAGTGTATAGACAGCCCCATGGTGGCCCCACTGGGTGTGGACGGCCCGTCCCTGTACACAGTAGTGTATAGACAGCCCCATGGCGGCCCCACTGGGTGTGGACGGCCCGTCCCTGCATACAGTAGTGTATAGACAGCCCCATGGCGGCCCCACTGGGTGTGGACGGCCCGTCCCTGCATACAGTAGTGTATAGACAGCCCCATGGCGGCCCCACTGGGTGTGGACGGCCCGTCCCTGCATACAGTAGTGTATAGACAGCCCCATGGCGGCCCCACTGTGGACGGCCCGTCCCTGTATACAGTAGTGTATAGACAGCCCCATGGCGGCCCCACTGTGGACGGCCCGTCCCTGTACACAGTAGTGTATAGACAGCCCCATGGTGGCCCCACTGGGTGTGGACGGCCCGTCCCTGTACACAGTAGTGTATAGACAGCCCCATGGTGGCCCCACTGGGTGTGGATGGCCCGTCCCTGCATACAGTAGTGTATAGACAGCCCCATGGCGGCCCCACTGGGTGTGGACGGCCCGTCCCTGCATACAGTAGTGTATAGACAGCCCCATGGCGGCCCCACTGGGTGTGGACGGCCCGTCCCTGCATACAGTAGTGTATAGACAGCCCCATGGCGGCCCCACTGTGGACGGCCCGTCCCTGTACACGGTAGTGGATGGCCCCATGGGGGCTCTGTCGAGTGTGGACAGCCCTGTCCCTCCCCCATCCGGTGTAGACAGCCCTGTGGCTGCACTGGGGGCGGGTGGTGCGGGTTCTGCATCGGGACAGGACGCAAGGGCTCCAGGGGGGCAGTGGGACTGCATCCAGAGGTGGTTCGAGGGCTCCAGGTCAGAGTCTAAATCTCTGCCTATGTGTGCACTTCAGGATTTTGAGGCTGTTTTCCAAAAGTCTTTTTTTTTTTTTTTTCCTTTTTGAGACGAAGTCTCGCTCTTGTCCCCCAGGCTGCAGTGCAGTGGCGCAATCTCGGCTCACTGCAACCTCTGCCTTCTGAGTTCAAGCGATTCTTCTCCCTCAGCCTCCCAAGTAGCTGGGATGACAGGCACCCGCCACCATGCCCAGCTAATTTTGTATTTTTAGTAGAGACAGGGTTTCACCATGTTGGCCTGGCTGGTCTCGAACTCCTGACCTCATGATCTGCCTGCCTTGACCTCCCAAAGTGCTGGGATTACAGGCATGAGCCACTGTGCCTGGCTGTGTTCCAAAAGTCTTGTACGGAAAGAGGAAACCTGGCAGTAAAGTCCACAGGGGTGTGTGTCACCCGCCGTGGCAGGACAGGGCGTGTGTCACCTGGCGTGGCAGGACAGGGCATGTTGCCTGAGTGTGAGGATCGCGCCCGTTGGCTCGCTTCCCCCGCATTTTGGGTTTGATCTTTGACTTTCGGAGGGAGATCACAGGAGGTTGGCTCCCAATCTGGTTCCCCTAGCTGCGTTTGGGAGGCCGTCCGTGTGTAGTGCTGATATGAACTGAAGGGGCGGCACCTCTGCCCTGTGAGTTTGCGCCCCACATCGTGGGTGACTGGGCGGCACCTCTGTCCTGTGAGTTTGCGCCCCGCATCGTGGGTGACGGGACGGCACCTCTGCCCTGTGAGTTTGTGCCCCACATCATGGGTTACTGGGCCGCACCTCTGCCCTGTGAGTTTGCATCCTGCATCGTGGGTGACTGGGCGGCACCTCTGCCCTGTGAGTTTGCATCCTGCATCGTGGGTGACTGGGCAGCACCTCTGCCCTGTGAGTTTGCGCCCCGCATCGTGGGTGACTGGGCGGCACCTCTGCCCTGTGAGTTTGCGCCCCGCATCGTGGGTTACTGGGTGCACTTGTTTAAATCGTCTCCTGGTGGTTTGAGCACATTCCCTCTGGTGCTGTCTTAAAGCTTCCCTTTGGAGACTTACCGGGGGTCAGAGGCCGACTTCTGAATCCTCAAGGACAGTAAGGAAGTGAGAAGGATGGAGGGATCCGAGGATGGCTGGAGAAGGGAAGGAGGTGGAAGAGAAGGAAGTGGAGAGGGGCGTACCCCTAAGAAGAGTTGGAAGGGGCCTTGCGGGTGGGGGGCTGTGGTGGGCGTCAGAGGTGGTGTGGAAGGTTGCAGGAGAAGAAAAGGCCAGTCTGAGATGGCTGCAGACTTCTGGTTCCAAGTCTAGGACACTCGGAAAAAGGAAAACGATGGAGACAGGAAACAGATCGGGGCTTGCGGGGGTTGGGTGCGTCAGTGCCACACAGACGTTTTTCAGGGCAGGGAAACTCCTCTGCGTGACCCCACAGTGGTAGATCCGTGTCATCCTGCGTTTTTCCAGACTCAACAGAGCGTGCGGCAGCGGGAGAGCCCAGTGCACGCTGTTGACTCGGGGTGATAGTGACCCGTCCAAGGAGGTTTATTGACTGTAACAGATGCAGGCGGTCACGCAGGACCTTCCTGATCGGGGACCCGGGAGGCTTTCTGCTGACAGCGTTCAGCCTGGCAGGGATGTGGCCAGTTTCTGACCCTCAGCCCGAAGGTATCCTGTCTCCTTCCCGGTGGGATCGAGGTGCAGGCCCCCGGAATGTCAGCTCACCCTCATTTAAAGTTGCCCGTCCCCCTTTTCCACCGCCCCTCTTTTCTTGTTCTAAATACGATTGCAAACAAGCGCAGTTATCACAGTGAGCAGTGGCAGAGAAGACGAGATCCTGGATGCCCACTGCAGCTTAGCTGTATTCTAGAAACTCCTGAAGTTTGGGGAGGGGCGGAGATGCCGGCGCGCTTTGATGCCGGGCTGCCGGGATGTCTGGGCTGCCGTGCGTGTTTGTGGAGGCGCAGCTGCACCTGGCGTGCCCTGTGCTCTGGAGGGGCAAGCCGGAGTCGGCACCGAGCCTGCAGCCAGCTCTGGTGTTGTCGTGGAGGGGGGGGACCTCACTTCTCGCGGGGAGCGCCTTCGCCTGGGTCCCCGAGGCCGTCCCCAGGCTCTCTTCTCGGGGACCTGTTGATGCGCGTTCCGCCCAGGCTCTCCTCTCGGGGACCTGTTGATGCGCGTTCCGCCCAGGCTCTCCTCTCGGGGACCTGTTGATGCGCGCTCCAGGGCGAGCCACGTGACGGCTGCCGCGGTGCAGAAAGCGCCCCCTTGCCCGGCCGGACGGCCCAGCCCGGAGCGAACGGGGAGAGGAGAGAAGAGGACCGGAGGGAGCGGAGGGCAGTGCAGGGAGCGGAGAAGGAGGAGAGGAGAGCAGCGCCGGGAGCAGCCGGGTCTGCACAGTCGCGGGTCGGGAGAGGCGGCCGCCCCCACCCCCGGCGCCATGCGCCCTCCTCAGCCTGAGGAATGCGCGCGGCGCGGGCCCCGGCCCCAGAGCGCCTGGCGGGCGACGCATGGAGCGCGCTGAGCCCGGGCCACGCCTGCAGCGCCCCGCCGGCCCCGGCCCGGCCCTGCCCCGAGAGCGCGGCGCCCGGCCCGGCCCGCGGAGAGCCCTGCGCGCCGGCGGCATGCGACTCCGCGAGCGCTCGCTGCGCCAGGACCCCGACCTGCGCCAGGAGCTGGCCTCACTGGCCCGCGGCTGCGACTTCGTGCTGCCCTCTCGGTTCAAGAAGCGGCTGAAGGCCTTCCAGCAGGTCAGCCCCGCGCGCCCCGCGGCTGCCCGACACCGGGCGAGGCCTCCCGGCCCGGCGAGCCCTGCCCTCCCGGCCCCGCGTGGGCCCCCGCTCGCCGCTGCTGGCCGTGCACCCGTTGTTGCGTGGCGGGGCCCAAACGCCAGATTTACAGGGCCAGTTGTGGGCGCAGGGGACCCGCTCGGGCCGCACGCCGCCGAAAACCGGGTGCTGCTCTGTGGGAAGCGGTGCCAAGCTTGTTAGGAAAACCGGGCTTTGAAAAGAGCACTCGCTCCTTTCCCGGGAGTTTTGGCTGTGAGTGCGCGCCTTGCTGTGATCAACCAAGGCGGGTGAGAGCCGTCAGCGCCTGGGAGTGTTCGCTGCAGACAGATTTTTAATTTAAATATACCTTGCATTGCTGGTAATAAACATCGGGAAACTCCTTCACCCTTCGTAAAGGCGTCGGGTGGGTGAAACTTTCCCGGCGTTATTGCAATACCCAGCATTCCTTCCCACTGGCTAACTTAAGAGTCGGTTGAGATATCACTCACATACCGGACTATTTATGCAGCGTGGTTTTATTCAGTAACTCAGTGGCTTTGAAATTTATTTATTTATATTTATTTATTTGAGACGAAGCCTCTCTGTTTCCCAGGCTGGAGTGCAGCGGCGCTATCTCGGCTCACTGCAACCTCCACCTCCTGGGTTCAAGTGATTTTCCTGCTTCAGCCTCCCGAGTAGGGCTAATTTTTGCATTTTTAGTAGGGACGGGGTTTCACCATGTTGGCCAGGCTGGTCTTGAACTCCTGACCTCAGGTGATCGCCCACCTGGGCCTTCCAAAGTGCTGGGAGTAGGGGCGTGAGCCTCCACCCCAGCTGGCTTTGAAATTTAATCTCAGTTCTCATAAGTGCTCAGGGAAGTAAAATTTGTGTCTGTACCCCGTGTATATTGTATGAGTTAGTTTTACGAGTACCATGTGATTTAAACGTGTAAGAGTCTTCCTGTGACAATCCCAGTATAATTTGAGAATTTAGGGTTTGGCTGCGGCCGAATCTGATCCGAATTTCATCCAGACAGGGTGTGCGTGGCGGGCGCCTCACACCCACGTGGCACATCAGACGCGCTTTTCAAACTCAGTTCCAGGAGTCTGGAACTAGTGGCCTAACATCAAGGTGAACCAAGGCATCCTGCTTGAAGGGGGAGGAAGACCCACTTCTTTCTGTTGATATTTTAATTGAAATTTTTTCTGTAAGATCTCACATCAACTTTTGCACTCCTTCGGAGTTTTTGACCTCTGTCTTCCAGGTTTTGACATTTTGCCTGTAAGTGGGTAAGGGCGAGGCTGGTGTCTTTAAAATCCTCTTAACCTGCGAAGAGCGAGATCAGCCTCGTGCGGGATTTGCTCTAGATGGTGGGAGGTGCTGGGCGGTGCGGGCTCGCTGGTCGCAGAGTCAATGAGGTGATTAGCTCGCACGTGGCTGGATGAGGAAGCCCTTCAGCCCTGCAGTGGGGCCCTGGCTCTTCTGTGGGGGGCTGTGGTGACGATGCACCTGTGAGGACTGTTTATTTTTAAAAAGTCAGTTTCTGGGAAATCATGAATTCCGTTTACAGAAGTTTGCTTCATTTTACAGAAAATAGGTTTCCACGTTTTTAGGGAGTGAGGACAGACGTGTGAAATGCATGTTGTCTGAGGGGTGGTGGAGGAATTACAGGCATATTTGGGGGTATTTGTGGGGGTGGTGTTGGGGGAGAAGGGGACGTTTCCTGGCTGCTTTCACTCCGCGCATGAGTGTGGGCTCTGTCTGTTGGGTCCACCCCACTTGGACACACCCTCAGGGTTGTCAGGGAGCACCCGTGTTGGAGCCACTGGACGTGTTGGGGTGCCGCACCTCCGCCTTCGGACGCTCCCGGCCGGGCAGCACGGTACTGTTTTCAGGGGTCCTCTGACGGGCACAGCCTTCCACGGCCAACGTTGGCCGCACCCACGAGCCCCTGGCGGGTGCTCCTGAGCTTGATCTTCTGACTGTGCGACGTCCCACCTGGGCTTCTGTTCCCACTAACCCCCTGGCGGGTGCTGCCTGCCCCGATGGTGAACCCAAGCTCCTCCTCCTCCCTGCCACTGCCCACTTCCCTGTCACCGGCATCCTTGACAAACCAAACTCGGGGGGTGGGGGCGTTCAGCGACCGCCGGCCTTGGGAACGGAACAGCATGCGTTCACGCCGTGGGTCCGGGGAGGCTCCCGTGTGACGATGGCGTGTTACACGTACTCTCACCGTGGGTCCGGGGAGGCTCCCGTGTGACGATGGCGTGTTACACGGCTCATGCTCTCACTGTAGGACCCAGCATGTACCTGGAGTGGGGCCGTGCAGCTGCTTGGCTGAGCTCTTCTTGCCGGAGCCACTGCCTGCGCCTCCTGCCCAGGGATTCTCGGGCCTTCTGTCCCCGGGCAACAGCAGGACAGCTCAGACCTTGTTCCCAGCCCAGGACAGCTGTGCTGCCTAGCCTGGCCCTCCCCGCCTGGGGAGTGACTCTCCCGCTCCCCACACACTGACTCAGCACACAGACGCCCCTCTTCACCTGTCCTGGTCACACAGACACTGTCCGGCGTCCCCACGGGGTCCTTCGGGTGGACGCACAGACCCTACACGGCACCACGCATGGCTGAAAGCGCCGTCCCCTACGCGGCAGCCCCGCTGTACTTGGAACTGACTTCAGCGTGGTGACAGCCTGGGCTCTGGGCGTCCCTGACGCACCTCCTGCTCTCACCGCCAGGGCACGTGCCGTTCCCCTCCCAAGGCCAGTGGTCACCAAAACCCTTGCAGCCTTTGGTTTGGCCAGGACGCTGCCCAGGATGCCACTCCCTGGGCAGTGGCAGGGAGAAGGCAGGGCTTGGGTTCCCCACCTGGCAGGGAGCTGCAGCAAGGGGGGTTAACGGGAAACAGAAGCCCGGGTGGGAACGTCCACACAGAAGACCAAGCTCAGGAGCATCCGCCAGGGGCTTGTGGACGCAGGGAGGGTGCCGGATCCTCCCCTCGCTGTGTTGCGCGGCATCCACCGTCACCCCTTGGCTGGTGGACAGAATGATCCCCACGTCCCCCAGCCCAGCCTTCCGAGCTCTGTGGAGACTCACGCCTCGCTGCAGCCGTGGCTGCAGGCGCCAGTGCCTGGGCTGCAGGTGTGGGTGCAGGCCCCAGCCGACGTCTCTCAGCGTCCGTTGAGGCCCGGTTGCTCGGCTGCAGTCATGTGTCTGAGTGAATGTTAGCCCACGTGAGCTCTGGCCTACTCAGACACCTGCACCTGCTGCGTTTCTGTGTTGACCCCTCCACACCAGTTCTCCCTCTTTGCTAGAGAGGGGATTTTTAAACCCACACGTGGGGCCTCTCATCTCCGTGTTCGGCTCCTCTGTGTAAACACCGACCTTTTTGACTCCTGTGTTTAGCCGTCCAGCGTGCGGTTTGCAGGTGTAGCTGGCAGCCCTCTACCAGCCCTCTCAGAGGGTCCCTGGGAGTCAAGTGCTGGGCCGAGAAGAATGCTCAGAGCTTGCAGCAGGCCCTGCCTTCCAGGGGGTGGCCGTCATCTGGGTGGGCGAGGGGCTCAGCTGGAATCCATGAGTGTGCGTCCCGGCCAAACCCCCCGTCCCTGATTCCATACCACAGCCTCCCGTGCTTCCGCCTCCCGCTGCAGAGTGGGGGCCGCTGCAGAGCGGGGGCTCCTGGGGGCACGGCTGTGCGTTGCAGCCCGTACTGAGCGTCCCTTCCGCCGGCCCCCTGCTGCTCCGGCACCTCCTCTGTGGCTTTGATCGTGGTGTCCGGTCCTGCTGCCGTGGGGGCGAGGGTCATTTCTGCTGGTCACCGCGCCCTGCCTGCTGTGCGCACCCTCTGCACATGCGGGGGTCTGCCCGAGGCTGGTGTCGCGAGAGGATGTGTCACGGTGCACGTGGCCTGTGTTCTCGGGGTACACTCACCTGCACCCATCAAGCGCACGCACTTCTACGCAAAAACAGGCAGCCTCAGTGTTAGGCTCAGCCTTTGTTTTTGGTCGTATATGGACGTGTTTTGCAAAACTGTGGGTGTACTCTGGAAGGGCGACACATGTATCTGTGACTTCTGGAATTGTGATGAGTCAGGGAGCTGCCTTCTCAGTGCCCTCAACAGAAATAGCTTGTTGGGAGTCAGGGTGTCGCCTTTATCAGTGCGCTTTGGGTGACGGGCTCTTTACGAAGTTCTTTTTAAAGTACACGTACTGAGGAGGATTTAAAGTGGATGACCTGGCCGCCACAGGCCCCTCTGGTTTGTCTGAACTTTTTAATGAACAGGCGGCTGGCTTTAGAATTCTTCTTCCACATACATGCAGCTGTTTTTGCTCCTTCTGTGTTTACCGTAGATGCCTGGCCTCACCGGCTACGTTTGGGGCAGGGCAGCAGTCCCTGTGATTCCTTCAGAACCCCCTGAGACCTGCAGCTCAGCCCGAGAGGTGGCCAGTTCCCAAGTGAGCTGTGTGTGTTGAAAAGAATGTGTGCTCTGCAGCTGTGCTGGGGCCGAGTCTATTTCTGTCCATGAGATTAAGCTTGTAAATCTTCTGTGCCCGCATGGGGTGGTTGTGTTGTTTGTTCCATCTCTCGTCTATTAGTGCCCATGGTGGGTGGTCCCGGCTTTCCCCCCGTCGGTGCCCAGGGTGGGTGGTCCTGGCCTTCCCCCGGTCGGTGCCCAAGGTGGGTGGTCCCGGCCTTCCCCCCGTCAGTGCCCGGGGTGGGTGGTCCCGGCCTTCCCCGTGTCGGTGCCCAAGGTGGGTGGTCCCGGCCTTCCCCCCGTCGGTGCCCAAGGTGGGTGGTCCCGGCCTTCCCCCCGTCGGTGCCCAGGGTGGGTGGTCCCGGCCTTCCCCCGGTCGGTGCCCAGGGTGGGTGGTCCCGGCCTTCCCCCCGTCGGTGCCCAGGGTGGGTGGTCCCGGCCTTCCCCCGGTCGGTGCCCGGGGTGGGTGGTCCCGGCCTTCCCCCCGTCGGTGCCCGGGGTGGGTGGTCCCGTCCTTCCCCCCGTCGGTGCCCAAGGTGGGTGGTCCCGGCCTTCCCCCCGTCGGTGCCCGGGGTGGGTGGTCCCGGCCTTCCCCCCCGTCAGTGCCCGGGGTGGGTGGTCCCGGCCTTCCCCGTGTCGGTGCCCAAGGTGGGTGGTCCCGGCCTTCCCCCCGTCGGTGCCCGGGGTGGGTGGTCCCGGCCTTCCCCGTGTCGGTGCCCAAGGTGGGTGGTCCCGGCCTTCCCCCCGTCGGTGCCCAAGGTGGGTGGTCCCGGCCTTCCCCGTGTCTGTGCCCGGGGTGGGTGGTCCCGGCCTTCCCCCCGTCAGTGCCCGGGGTGGGTGATCCCGGCCTTCCCCCCGTCAGTGCCCAAGGTGGGTGGTCCCGGCCTTCCCCGTGTCTGTGCCCAGGGTGGGTGGTCCCGGCCTTCCCTGTGTCTGTGCCCGGGGTGGGTGGGCTCCGCCTTGCCTAGCGGGCTCAGTTTGTGTCCAGTGGTGTTTACTTGATCAGTGCCGAGGCTGCGTTGTCAGGCATGGATAAAGTTAGCATCAGCCTGTCTTCCCCTGACTGACCTCTTCAGCGTTCCTTGGTGGCCTGTCTGTCTCCAGGTCTGTCCATCACCTTGTGTCACTTCATGGATGTTAATACAGCGACACCAGCTTTCTCTACTGTCTGCCTGCTCTTTTTCCATCTCAAAAAAAAATGTGTAGCCTCTGGGTCCTTAAGTCACATATATCTCCTGTCTTTCTGTCCTCTGTGTCTCCCATGTACGTGAATGCTGTTTTCTTTCTGCAGTCAGACCTTTGTCTTGTAACTAGAGCACTCGGTGCATTGAGGTCGATGTTGCCTGCTCATCCGTGTGATGGACTGTGACCGTCTCATCCTGCACCTCTGTCTCCTGCTCTTTTTCAGCTTGGTCGCCTTTTCTCTCGTTTGGAGTACACGCTTCCTACTAGCTCACTGTTTATCCTACAAATGTCAATGGCTGGCCGGGCACGGGGCCTCACACCTGTGATCCCAGCGCCTTGGGAGGCTGAGGCAGGAGAATCGCTGGAGGCCAGGAGTTCAAGACCAGCCAGCACAACATAGCGAGACCCCGTCTCTATAAAGAAAAAAAAAAGGAACGTCGACTAAATTTTTCAAAGCCCAATATTAATCAGTATCTTTTCCTCCAACTCACAAACCGTCTCACACTCATCCAGTCAGCATGTCACTGACAGGCTGTTGTATTGACTTTTTTTTTTTAATTGAACATACGTTGTTTTCACTGATTTATGTTTTTTAAATTGAACATACATTGTTATCACTGATTTATGTGGTCAGCTGCCGAGGTTTTCCCACTCATTACCGCTGACCTGCTCTTCATCCCTTCTTTCAATTCCAACCTTCCCTTTGGGAGCTCTTGGCTTCTCCCTGCTGCATTTCCTCAGCTTTTGCCCCGTAGAGTGTCTGTTAATGGGGTGCATGCTCTGTAAATTTGGGGCTAAAAATGTCCAAGTATTCATCTCACTTTTTTTTTTTTGAGACAGAGTCTCACTCTGTCACCCAGGCTGGAGGACAGTGGTGCGACCTCAGCTCACCGCACCCTCCGCCTCCCGGGTTTAAGCGATTCTCCTGCCTCAGCCTCTCAAGTAGCTGGGATTACAGGCATGCGCCACCACACCTGGTTAATCGTTTGTTTTGTTTTGAGACAGAGTCTCACTCTGTCGCCCAGGCTGGAGTGCAGTAGTGCGATCTCAGCTCACTGCAACCTCTGCCTCCTGTGTTGAAGCGATTCTCCTGCCTCAGCCTCTCAAGTAGCTGGGATTACAGGCATGCGCCACCACACCTGGTTAATCGTTTGTTTTGTTTTGAGACAGAGTCTCACTCTGTCGCCCAGGCTGGAGTGCAGTGGTGCGATCTCAGCTCACTGCAACCTCTGCCTCCTGTGTTGAAGCGATTCTCCTGCCTCAGCCTCCCGAGTAGCTGGGAGTACAGGCACCCTCCACCACACCTGGTTAATCGTTTGTTTTGTTTTGAGACAGAGTCTCACTCTGTCGCCCAGGCTGGAGTGCAGTAGTGCGATCTCAGCTCACTGCACCCTCCGCCTCCTGTGTTGAAGCGATTCTCCTGCCTCAGCCTCTCGAGTAGCTGGGAGTACAGGCACCCTCCACCACACCTGGTTAATCGTTTGTTTTGTTTTGAGACAGAGTCTCACTCTGTCGCCCAGGCTGGAGTGCAGTAGTGCGATCTCAGCTCACTGCACCCTCCGCCTCCTGTGTTGAAGCGATTCTCCTGCCTCAGCCTCTCGAGTAGCTGGGAGTACAGGCATGCGCCACCACACCTGGTTAATCGTTTGTTTTGTTTTGAGACAGAGTCTCACTCTGTCGCCCAGGCTGGAGTGCAGTAGTGCGATCTCAGCTCACTGCAACCTCTGCCTCCTGTGTTGAAGCGATTCTCCTGCCTCAGCCTCTCAAGTAGCTGGGATTACAGGCATGTGCCACCACACCTGGTTAATCGTTTGTTTTGTTTTGAGACAGAGTCTCACTCTGTCGCCCAGGCTGGAGTGCAGTGGTGCGATCTCAGCTCACTGCAACCTCCGCCTCCTGTGTTGAAGCGATTCTCCTGCCTCAGCCTCCCGAGTAGCTGGGATTACAGGCATGCGCCACCACACCTGGTTAATCGTTTGTTTTGTTTTGAGACAGAGTCTCACTCTGTCGCCCAGGCTGGAGTGCAGTGGTGCGATCTCAGCTCACTGCAACCTCCGCCTCCTGTGTTGAAGCGATTCTCCTGCCTCAGCCTCTCCAGTAGCTGGGATTACAGGCATGCGCCACCACACCTGGTTAATCGTTTGTTTTGTTTTGAGACAGAGTCTCACTCTGTCGCCCAGGCTGGAGTGCAGTAGTGCGATCTCAGCTCACTGCAACCTCCGCCTCCTGTGTTGAAGCGATTCTCCTGCCTCAGCCTCCCGAGTAGCTGGGATTACAGGCATGCGCCACCACACCTGGTTAATCGTTTGTTTTGTTTTGAGACAGAGTCTCACTCTGTCGCCCAGGCTGGAGTGCAGTAGTGCGATCTCAGCTCACTGCAACCTCCGCCTCCTGTGTTGAAGCGATTCTCCTGCCTCAGCCTCTCGAGTAGCTGGGAGTACAGGCATGCGCCACCACACCTGGTTAATCGTTTGTTTTGTTTTGAGACAGAGTCTCACTCTGTCGCCCAGGCTGGAGTGCAGTGGTGCGATCTCAGCTCACTGCACCCTCCGCCTCCTGTGTTGAAGCGATTCTCCTGCCTCAGCCTCTCGAGTAGCTGGGAGTACAGGCATGCGCCACCACACCTGGTTAATCGTTTGTTTTGTTTTGAGACAGAGTCTCACTCTGTCGCCCAGGCTGGAGTGCAGTAGTGCGATCTCAGCTCACTGCAACCTCCGCCTCCTGTGTTGAAGCGATTCTCCTGCCTCAGCCTCTCAAGTAGCTGGGATTACAGGCATGCGCCACCACACCTGGTTAATCGTTTGTTTTGTTTTGAGACAGAGTCTCACTCTGTCGCCCAGGCTGGAGTGCAGTGGTGCGATCTCAGCTCACTGCAACCTCCGCCTCCTGTGTTGAAGCGATTCTCCTGCCTCAGCCTCTCCAGTAGCTGGGATTACAGGCATGCGCCACCACACCTGGTTAATCGTTTGTTTTGTTTTGAGACAGAGTCTCACTCTGTCGCCCAGGCTGGAGTGCAGTGGTGCGATCTCAGCTCACTGCAACCTCCGCCTCCTGTGTTGAAGCGATTCTCCTGCCTCAGCCTCCCGAGTAGCTGGGAGTACAGGCATGCGCCACCACACCTGGTTAATCGTTTGTTTTGTTTTGAGACAGAGTCTCACTCTGTCGCCCAGGCTGGAGTGCAGTGGTGCGATCTCAGCTCACTGCAACCTCCGCCTCCTGTGTTGAAGCGATTCTCCTGCCTCAGCCTCCCGAGTAGCTGGGAGTACAGGCACCCTCCACCACACCCGGCTAATTTTTTTTATACTCTTTTTGTTTTTTGTTTTCTGTTTTTTTTTTTTTGTTTTTTTTTTTTTTAGTAGAGATGAAGTTTTGCCATGTTGCCCAGGCTGGTCTTGAACTCCTCAGCTCAGACAGTCTGTCCCCCTCAGCCTCCTTTCAAAGCGCCAGGATTGCAGGCACGAGCCCGGCCGGTTTGAGGGTTTTCGCAGCATCCTGGTGACCGTGAGTTTGGTTTGCAAACCTGCAGGAGAGTCGGCTGTAGCCGTCAGTTCTCGGGGGAGAACTCCCCCCTGCCCAGCTCGTACCAGCAGCTCCAGGTGAAGGCTGCTACTTTCATTCCTGGGGCCGGAGGCGCGCTGGGGATTTACTTGGAGCTCATTCTTCCCACTGAAGGTGACGCGTTCTGGGAGCTTCCCCGGAGGACCCTGCGTTTTGCCTCCTCTTCCCCAGAGCTCTGCAAGGCTGTGAGAGATTTCGGGTGAGCCCGCTCGGCCCACGCTTCTGAAGGCAGAGCCTGTTCAGGCTCCACGGGCTTCCCCGGGTTCTTCCTTCCAGGCAGCTGTGGCCTGAGGTGTCCTCCTTTCCTGCCAGCCTGTGGGCGCCGTCTAGAAGACGTTTGTCAACTATTCTGTCCAGGGTTCTTGGCAGTTTTCATCAGGAAGGTTGGTTTGTGTACCCAGGTCATTGCTATATTGCCAAACACAGGAGCCCGAGAGCTCACTGCAGAATATTCGCGGGGTCAGTTCCGTACCCCAAATAGCAGAGCTGTGTGAACCCAGCGTGATGAAGGAGGAAGAGCCGCAGGCTCCACAGTGGGACCCCCACAGCGAGAGACGGGAAGGCGCCGCTGCGGGAATGCGTTGTGGGCTCGGGAAGATGCACTGTGGGATCGCGGGCTTGGGGAGATGCATTGTGGGATGGTGGGCACAGGGAGATGACTGTGGGATGGTGGGCTCGGGGAGATGCATTGTGGGATTGCGGGCACGGGGAGATGCATTGTGGGATCGTGGACTCATGGAGATGCACTGCGGGATCGCGGGCTCGGGGAGATGCACTGCGGGATCGCGGGCTCGGGGAGATGCATTGTGGGATGCTGGGCTCGGGGAGATGCATTGTGGGATGGTGGGCTCGGGGAGATGCATTGTGGGATCGCGGGCTCGGGGAGATGCACTGTGGGATTGCGGGCTCGGGGAGATGCACTGTGGGATGGTGGGCTCGGAGAGATGCACTGCGGGATGGTGGGCTCGGGGAGATGCACTGTGGGATGGTGGGCTCGGGGAGATGCACTGCGGGATCGTGGGCTCGGGGAGATGCACTGCGGGATCATGGGCTCGGGGAGATGCACTGTGGGATCGCGGGCTCGGGGAGATGCAGGGACCTCCTGCCCCAGGACACAGAGGTCACGTTCTGAATCACAGGGAAGGGGTGTGCCCTTAGGTAAAGCTGTGCTGAAGGAGCACTCAGTCGGCAGCTACTGCGGGAAGCCTGCTCTGCCCCAGGTCACGGAGGCGGCCTCTGTTCCTCCTACATGGGGATCAGAGAAAAACAACTGAGTCTCACCGTGGGTGAGGGTCCTGCAGCGACAGCAGGGTGGGCACAGTTGAGGCGCTGTCAGTGGGACCCTTGTGACCTGGGGTGAGGGTCCTGTGGGAGTAGCAGGGTGGGGACAGTTGGGGCGCTGTGGGACCCTTGTGACCTGCGGTGAGGATACTGTGGCAGTAGCAGGGTGGGGACAGTTGGGGTGCTGTCTGTGGGACCCTTGTGACCTGGGGTGAGGGTCCTGTGGGAGTAGCAGGGCGGGCTGTTTTCTCTGTGTGGACACTGGAGCTTGGACCCAGTCCTGGATTGATCCAGGCAGTCAGGATTGTGGGTGCAAAGGCCCTGAGCTGTGGTCCACTGGTATGCGGACTTCCTCCCTGGACCCCTCCTCCATGGCAGTTGGTTGAGGAGGACACAGCCCCGTCCCCTGAGTAGTTGATGGAGGAGGAGGAGGACGCAGCCCCATTCCCTAGGTAGTTGGTCAAGGAGGACACAGCCCTGTCCCCTGAGTAGTTGATGGGGGAGGACGAAGCCTCGTCCCGAGTAGTTGATGGGGAAGGACACAGCCCCGTTCCCTGGGTAGTTGGAGGAGGAGGAGGACGCAGCCCCGTCCCTTCAGTAGTTGATGGTGGGGGAGGACGCAGCACCGTCCCTTGGGCAGTTGATGGAGGAGGACGCAGTACGGTTGCTGATGCTGTTAACTGTTTCAGATGGTGTTTTAACATCACGGGATGAGATCAAATGTCCACCTCGCAGGTTGTGTAGAGATGCAAGCAGGAGACTCTTGAGTGAGTGTTCTGGGGCCTGCAGATATACTGGGTGAGGAGAGTGCTGGTGCTGAGTGGGGCCAAGAGCCCGTGGGCGTGGGCTGTGCACCGGGTGAGGGGCTGAGGCGTGTCCGCAGCAGTACCTGGTGGTCGACCCCTTCTCCTGGCTGTGTGGTTGCCTGCCCTGCCTCTGCCTCTCAGAATGTGAGTCTTCCGGGCTCCAGGGACAGGGTTGCCTGTGGACGGCACCTGTGCCTCTCCACGTCTGAGCTCTCAGGCGTCTGGGGTGCGTGGCTGCCCTTTTCCCCAGGTCCCTGCCAGGTGTGGTGGGGTCAGTGGTGTGGCTCATGGGAATCGGGAGTGGGTCCTGGCTGGGCTCTCAGGTGCCTGGGGCACGTAGCTGCCCTTGTCCCCAGGGCCCTGCTCGGTGTGATGGGGGCTCAGTGGCGCAGAGCCGCCACCCAGAGTGGGGTCCATGGCAGCATGGTGTGGCCTCCTGGGTGAAGGTGGGCCCTGCAGTGGAGTACGTGTGTGGTCCCCCGCAGGGATTGCAGTGTGTCCTCTCCCGGCTGGGATCAGGTGGCCTCAGCACTGTCGGCCCTAGAGAGGCCCCGTGTGTTGTCCGGGTGAAGAAGGCGTTCGATGCTCCCAGGTTCTAACTGAGCGCTGTCTGTCGACTCTTCAGGTTCAGACACGGAAAGAAGAGCCTCTGCCCCCGGCCACGAGCCAAAGCATTCCGACCTTCTACTTCCCCAGAGGACGCCCGCAGGACTCCGTCAACGTGGATGCCGTCATCAGCAAGATCGAGAGCACCTTCGCCCGGTTCCCCCACGAGAGGGCCACCATGGATGACATGGGCCTGGTGGCCAAGGTACGTGTCACGCGTGGGACGTGGAGCAGCCGAGGTGGTACTGCGGGCATGTGAGGGTGAGGCGGAGCGGCCGTGGTGGGTGCGTGTCACACGAGCGTGAGTGAGGCGGCACGGCCGAGGAGGGTGCGTTTCACACGTGTGCGGGAGCGGCCCAGGTTTTCTCTGAGGTTATAGTTGTGGTCTGAGGTTTGCTGTCTGGTTGCTGCTGTGTGAATTCTTAAGCATCTGAAATGCGAGTGGGAATTCCGTCTGCATTCTCATCCTGATGCTGTGAAGAGCGCAGGCCCGCCCTGTGCCACCCTCCCCTTCTCTCCCCTCCGGGGCCAGTGGCGCCAGCTCTCGTGGCTCTCGGAGGCCGTTCTGCACCCTCCTGGCCTTGCCCCTTTCTGCCCGAGGAGCGGCCATCCCAGGCTGGGCAGCTGTGGACCCGTCTCCTGGCAGCAGCCCCATGGGCCCATTTCTAGACTCACCCTGAGTGCTGCGGCGCGGCGTGCATCATTCGCCGCCTGCTTTCCTTCTCAGCTGCATGCTCTCCAGGCTGACCGCCTGGACGCCCACAGATGGAGCACACTCAGTTTAGTGTCTGTCCGTTACCAAGGCAAGGCCTACACCAGAGATGCGTGTCTGGACCCCTGGTGGGTGGTTGTGTTTCCAGGGACCTGTGCCCGCATCTCCAGCCTCCTACCCTCCAGGTGGAGTCGCTGGCCAGTGGATGCTCCCACCCCTCCAAGTCAGAGCCCCAGAGCCTCGGTGCACGGTACATGTGAGCCCCTCACGGTGAGACCCCTGCCCCCCAGCCCTCTCCAGCTCTGCAGCTGTGAAGGGGGTCCTCGGGAGTGAGCAGGTTTTTGTTTTTTGGGTTTGCTTGTTTGAGACAAAGTCTTGCTCTGTCACCCAGGCTGGAGTGCAGTGGTGTAATCTCGGCTCACTGCAACCTCCACCTTCTGGGTTCAAGTGATTCTCCTGCCTCAGCCTCCCAAGTAGCTGGGACTATAGGCATGCACCACCATGCCTGGCTAATTTTTATATTTTTAGTAGACATGGGGTTTCACCATATTGGCCAGGCTGGTCTTGAACTCCTGACTTCAAGTGATCCGCCTGCCTCGGCCTCCCAAAGTGCTGGGATTACAGGCATGAGCCACTGCACCTGGCCGGGTTTTGTTTTTTTAACTTATTAATACAGTCTATTAAATGAGTTGGTTTTGGGATGTTAAACCAACCTTGCATTCCTGGGATAAATTCCGCATGGTCGCTGTGTCTCATCTTTTTTATATGTTGCTGGATTCCAATAATTTTGCAACTGGATTCACAGAGAAGACAGTGCTTGGTAGTTTTCTTGTGAGTCCTTTGTCTGGTTTTGGTTTTAGGGCAATACGGGTCTGAAAGAACACATTAAGTGTCCCCGCCCTTTTTCTATTAGGGATTGTGTTTTTAAAGTATTTTAAAAAGTTTTGTTTTATAAATATGTAAAAACCTCCATGGTTACAAAGTGAGCACTAACAAACTAGACACATTCAGGTAAGTCCAGGTTCTGTCCCTGTCTGTGCTGTTTCTACCCCAGAGGTAATAGTTTCCATAGCTTTGGTTTATCCTCTTATTGTTATTTTAGCTTTTAATATGAGCAATTATGTACAAATATGTGTATGAGTATGAACATACATACTTCTTGCATTTCTTAGAGAAAAATTAGCATGCTGTTGTACACTTGCATATTTGTTTTTGCTAAGTCACTCCGTATTTGTAGAGGTGTCCCTGTCTTGTACGGCAGTGTGGGGCCATGAAAGGACCAGATAAGTCACAACCATGCAAAACCATCTTCCAGTAAAAATTAGGATCATTCTATAATCATTTTTGTTGAAATATTAGAAACTTTCTTACAGTCGGTTGCAAACATGTAGTGAATGAAAAGAACTAATATTTACCTAGTATGCTGTAACTTAAAACACCAGAAGCATTAAGAATTGTTTCATCTCTCAGTAAAAACTTGCCAAAAGTAGTTACAGCAGTGCCATCTCCTTGTCCCGTGTGGAGTGAGCACCTGCTCCGTGCCCTGGCAGACTCACTCGACTTAACACGCCTTGCTCAGCTTCCGCGTTTTATCCTTGGTGCTCTTGAAGTTGTGGGGTATCTCTGAGAGTTCCTTCACTGGGAGGTCTCTTTGCTGGCATTCCGTCTGCTGGGACACCTTCATCCTTTTCAGTACAGCCTCCGTTGTGTGGAGAACTCACCCTCGCGGAGTGCGCCCGGCCCCACCCACAGGGTCTCTGCGCGCCTCGGGCTGGGTCAGACACCTCTTTTGCAGCTCACGCGCTGCGTCCGCTTCGGGTCCTACAAAGCCGCTCGCGCAGCCCAGTGAGGTTCCTGCATGGGACCCATGTATTCCCCTCAGTGCTTCCCCGCCACGATGCCCCTCCCCGGCCGCGGTGCTTCCCCGCCAGGGCGCCGCCCCGCCCTCCCCTACCCCCGCCGCGGTGCTTCCCCGCCAGGGCGCCCGTCCCCACGGTGCTTCCCCGCCACAGCGCCCCTCCCCACGCGGTGCTTCATCCCCACGGTGCTTCTCCCCAACGGCGCCTCCCCCCACCGTGGTGCCGCCCCCCACAGCGGCCACCCCCCCTCCGCGGTGCTTCCCCGCCTCGGCGCCTGGTTCTCATGTGCGCGTTTCATGTCATTTTCCTTCCAGGACTCAGTTCTCGGTGTCACCTCGCTTCCACGCACAGCGGCACTGGCCTTGGTGGCCGTCTAAGGTAGTGAGGCTTTAAGACTTGAAAGAACCTGGTCCGTTGGCTGGATGTCACGTTTGGTGGTAAAAAGCAAGTTTTGTCGTTGTCTTCGACGCCCCAGAGAAGCAGGGTGACCTGGGTGTGACCCAGCGGGGCAGGGGAGAGCTCTGAGACTGAAGTTGTGTCGCTTGCAGCGTCTGCACCGCTGGGAGTCCGAGAGACACCTCCACAGGCCCCACTGTGCCTGCACGCACCGACCCGGCCCTGCAGGCGGAGAGCATGGTGCTCGAGCACCCACCGTGACTGTGGGCAGAGGCCAGCAGGGTGTGCGCTGTCGCGACTTAATCCACCTGCGCTGTGGCGGCAGAACCCTGTGAGCGTCCCGCGTGTGTGGGGGCCGCAGGCAAACTTCAGCTTCCCCGCCAAGGCTGCTGAGCCTGTCTCGGTGGCGCCCAGCTCGCCGCCACCTGCAGATGTCCGTCCACGTCTCCATCGTGTGCCTTTGGGACGGTTTTCTGTGAGCCGGGCCCCCGGCCCAGGGGACGAACGAGTAGGGGTGTCACTGCCGTTTCGAGTTCTCCCCGTCGCGTGAGTGACTGAATGAGGGCCTGGAGTCACAGCTCCACACGCGTGTTGTCAGGCGGGTGGACTTTGGCCGGCGGCTGCTTGAGAACTCACGTCTGAGGGGACTTTGAGTTTGATGAGGGGGGTCCCCCCGTGGATCTTAGCCGTGGCCGTGCAGCGAGGTCCGTGTGTGCCTTCTCCTGGCCCGGTTCTTCCTGTCTGTGTGAGTCAGGGCTGATCTCATACATCATTTCCTCCCTTTCATCATTGTCACTCCTCTGTGTTTTCTCTGAAGCCGTTTGAGACAGAGTCATCAGCTCCTTCACCTCCACCAAACTCCACCCCCTCAGCTGCCCCCACAGGAAAACACACTTTTCTCTTTGTTAATTTCCTTCAAACGTTGTTGGCTAATTCAGGGTTTTCATTTATGGAGACTATTTTGATGATTTACATTTTTTCTAAAAATTTTTTGCGTAACTTAGAAATTTCTTGCTCTAAAGCTTTTCCTTGTCTTGTACGATTTACAAAATCTTGATCGTATCTGCATCATACATAGACACTTTCTTGACAGAATCATTTATTTCCGGTTCCTTTCTTGATCCGTCATGCTACACACTAACGTATATCTCTTTCAGTAAAGCAGCTGTCAGTGTTACAGATTATTTCAGTTCTTTCTCTCATGAATATCTATGGTCATCTTTTTTACATACACTTCCTTCTGTCATTTTTTTTAGTTTATTGAATAGTTTTTTGTTTGGCCAGCTGTATTGTCATATAATTACACACCCTAAGATTCACCAATTTTAAGTGTACAATTTGATCCATTTTGGTAAAGCACACACCTGGGTATCCATCCTCATAGGCAGGACCGGCCGTTTGTCACCTGCCGCGGGTGTCCCACGTGCCTCCTTTTGCACCTCATCATTCCCCTCTTTTCTCCCTGGCCCGGGCCAGCTGCAGATGTGCTTCCGGTCGCTGTAGCTTTGCCTCTCTTAGAATTTCACATGAGGACTCTTGGAGCATTTTGTCTGTGGTTTCTAACTTCTTCCTGGCAGCATCTTTATTTTAAATTTTATTTTGAATGGACAAGTAATATTTGTGTATACAGGGTACAGCAAGATGTTTCGCTATGTGTGTGTGTTGAGGACTGATTAAGTCCTGTGGTGTGGATACTGTGGGGCTCGCTGTGTGGCTGGCGAAGGCGTGGTTACCGTGGGGCTCGCTGTGTGGCTGGCGGGGTGTGGATACTGTGGGGCTCGCTGTGTGGCTGGCCAAGGCGTGGTTACCGTGGGGCTCCCGTGTGGCTGGCCAGGGTGTGGATACTGTGGGGCTCACTATGTGTCCCTGGCCGTATGGGCAGTTTCTTTTCTATCACTGAGTAGCTTCTGCTGTGTGTGTGCTCCATCTCTCCCCTGTTCCAGGGTTGATAGACGTCTGGTTGCTTTGGTTTTTGCTTCTTGTGAGTAAAGCTGCTGTGTGTCTGTGCACTGATTTACGCAGACATGCTTGCATTTTCCTGAGGTGATTAATACCGCAGAGGTGAGCTCTGCCTCATCTGGTGGCCACATGTTTAGTTTTGTAAGAAGCTATAAAACTGCTTCCAGGGCCCAGGAGTGGTGGCTCACTCCACTAATCCCAGCACTTCGGGAGGCTGAGGTAGGCAGATCACCTGAGGTCAGGAGTTCGAGGCCAGCCTGGCCAACATGATGAAACCACATCTCTACTAAAAATACAAAAATTAGCCAGGTATGGTGGCGGGCACCTGTCATTCCAGCTACTCGGGAGGCTGAGACAGGAAAATCGCTTGAACCTGGGAGGTGGAGGTTGCAGTGAGCCAAGATCGCACCACTGCACTCCAGCCTGGGCGACTGAGCAAGACTGTGTCTCTACGCAAAAAAACAAAAAACAAAAAACCCTGCTTCCGGGGTGGCCCTGAGTGACGCATTTCCAGGCAGCAGCGTTGACCCCTGCGGGCACGTGGCCACACGCTTTGCCTTTAGCCGTTCTGTGCGTGTGCAGGCGTCCCGTCCTGGCTGCACTCCTCATTTCCCTGATGTACGTGTTGACCACCTTACGTGTTTCTTTCTCATCAGTTTGCCTTTTTTTCATTTTGGGGCAGCTGTGTTGAGATATAACTGATGTGGGATGCATGGTGCGTGTGGAAGGTACAATTCAATGAGCTTTGACGTCTGTACCCACCCATGAAACTATCCACAGCACCAAGACAATAGGCGTCCCTGCATCCTTGCGCTTGAGCGGGCACGTGCGCTGGACTTTTCTCTGCTGCTTTCTGACGCGCACCTGCCCTCATCCCACGCTACCTCAGGCCTCCTTTCTGTCAATATAGATTAGCCGGAATTTTCTGGAATTTTATGTAAACAGAATCAGACAGCAGGCACTTTTTTTTATTATGGGAAAATTCACACAACAGAATTCACCACCGTAACCATTTGGAGCACAGAACTCGGAGACGTTTGTGGCATATACAGCACGGTGTTCCATGTGCGTGTGTGGAGGGCCGGATCGCGTGGTGTTCCGTGTGCGCGTGCAGTTCCACTTCCGGCTTTCTGGGGAACCTGCACGCTGTCTTCCCGAGTGGCTGCACCGTTGTTCGTTCCCACCGTGTGAATTTTAGAGCCGGTCCCTCCGTTGCTACGACAGCCTGCTGGGATTACATGGGCATCCTGTTGACTCCAGATGAACTTGGAAGAATCTTGACCATATTGAGGCTTCCGTCTCATGAACGCGGTCCAGCTCTCCCTTATTTCAGGCATCTTTCACTTCTTTCAGTACGCCTTGTAGTTTGGTCTTGTTCACGGTTCATCACATTGATACCCAAGCATTTCCTGTTTCTGATGACACTGTACGTGGTATTTTTTTACTTTAATATGATTGTCAATTGTGAATGTTGAGAAGCACTGTTAGGTTTTATATGTGGACTTTGCATTTTCTGACCAAGTTTAACTCAGTCATCGGCTCTACCAGCTCAACCTTTAAGTCCGGCAGAGTCTCTAACGCACGGTCAGGTCATCTTCAGGTGAGCACAGTTCAGCCTTTCTCTTCTCGTCTGCATCGGTGTCTCCTCCCTGACTTTCTGTACACAGGCTCGGCCTGCCAGTGCAGTGCTGGAGAGCCGTGGAGAGCACGCCCCTTCCCGCCTCGGGCTCAAGTCGTCCGTGACGCAGCGGCCCTGCCTGGCGTCCTTCATCAGACTCAGGAGGCCCCTTCCCTTTTGGTTTCTTGTTTGCTGGGAGCTCTTGTGTTTTTTTTGAGACAGGTTCTCATTCTGCCCCCGGGCTGGAGTGCAGTGGCATGATCTCAGCTCACTGCAGCCTCGACCTCCTGGGCTCCAGTGATCCACCCACCTCAGCCCTCCCGAGTAGCCGTGACTACTGGCACCCGCCACCACACCTGGCTGATTTTTTCTTTTTTGGTAGAGACAGGGTTCTGCTATGTTGCCCAGGCTGGTCTGGAACTCCTGGGCTGGAAGGATCCTCTTGCCTCAGCCTCTCATGGTGCTGGGATGATGACAGGCATGAGCCATCACGCCTGGCCTCAGTTTACTTTTTAAAATTATAAAAGTGCCTTGAAGTTTGTCCGGGATGCTAAATGTGTATTTCTGCGTGTATTGAGAGGGCAGTGAGGTTTTCCTTTGGTCCTGTAAAAGGTGAATGGACCTGACTGACGTCTGAGTGTGAAGGCAGCCCCGGTCCTTGGGTGAGCCCCCGGTCCCTGTTCCACCGCAGCGTGCATTGCCCGGCCACGCAGGGGTAGCGTCTGTGGTCATGAAGGACTGGTCTTGACCTGACTGACGTCTGAGTGTGAAGGCAGCCCCGGTGTTTGGGTGAGCCCCCGGTGTTTGGGTGAGCCCCCGGTCCCTGGGTGAGCCCCCGGTCCCTGGGTGAGCCCCCGGTCCCTGGGTGAGCCCCCGGTGTTTGGGTGAGCCCCCGGTGTTTGGGTGAGCCCCCAGTCTTTGGGTGAGCCCCCTGTGTTTGGGCGAGCCCCTGGTCCCTGGGTGAGCCCCGGTCTTTGGGCGAGCCCCGGTCTTTGGGCGAGCCCCGGTCTTTGGGTGAGCCCCTGGTCCCTGGGCAAGCCCCTGCTCCCTGGGTGAGCCCCGGTCTTTGGATGAGCCCTGGTCTTTGGGTGAGCCCTGGTCTTTGGGTGAGCCCCTGCTCCCTGGGTGAGCCCCCGGTCCCTGGGCGAGCCCCGGTCTTTGGGTGAGCCCCCGGTCTTTGGGTGAGCCCTGGTCTTTGGGTGAGCCCCTGCTCCCTGGGTGAGCCCCCGGTCCCTGGGCGAGCCCCGGTCTTTGGGCGAGCCCCTGCTCCTTGGGTGAGCCCCAGTCTTTGGGTGAGCCCCGGTCTTTGGGTGAGCCCCCGGTCTTTGGGTGAGCCCCCAGCCCCCGGTCCCTGGTCCACCACACAGTGTCACACTTCTCCTATGTGTTGGGTCCACATTGCCAGGCCTCGCAGGGGTTGCGTCTGCGCTCGTGAAGGACTGGCCTGCGGTCTCCTTTTCTTGTGATAGCTTGGTCTGGTTTAGCATCGGGGGGATGCTGGCCTCGGAGAGTTGCTTGGAAAATGTCCTTTAGAATTCACTTTTCTGGAGCCATTTGTTTAGAATGGGTGTTATTTTTATTTGAATGTTTGGCAGAACTCATCAGTGAAGCCATTTGGGATAGTTTTCTCTGTGGGAAGGTTTTTAATGACAGCATGAATTGTTTCAATAAACACAGGCTGTCTGTATCATCTTTTCTCTTTTTTTTTTGGAGACAGAGTCTTGCTCTGTCACCCAAGCTGGAGTGCAATGGCACCATCTCACCTCACTGCAACCTCCGCCTCCTGGGTTCAAGCCATTCTCCTGCCTCAGCCTCCTGGGTAGCTGGGATTACAGGCATGCGCCACCACACCCGGCTAATTTGTGTATTTTTAGGAGAGACGGGGTTTCACCATGTTGGCCATGCTGGTCTCGAACTCTTGACCTCGGGTGATCCACCCGCCTTGGCGTCTCAAAGTGCTGGGATGACAGGCCTGAGCCACCGCACCCGGCCACTGCCACCCACTTTTAGACCATCGGATCTCACAAGAACTCAGGATTACGAGACCGGCAAGGGGGCTGTCCACCCTCATCACCCAGTCACCCCCCAGCAGAGCCCTGCTCCAACACTCAGGATCACAGTTCCCCGTGAGACTTGGGTGGGGGCTCCGAGCCACAGCCCACCACTGGTTCATGTGACCCTGAAGACTCCTCTGGCTCCGCGATGTCACTCGCTCACATAGCTCGGCAGCGTTTTCACATCTTTACGTGTCTGCAGATCGTCCTCTTGTCCCGTCACCCGCCGAGGAACGCGTGCTGAACTTGCCGGCCGTGGTTGTGGCGTCCTCCTTTCTCCTCTCACACCTGTCGGTCGGTGTCGGCGTGCCCTGTGCGACTGTAGACGCTCGGGACTTTGTCTGCCTCGCGAGTCCCCCTCAGCAGCACCATCACGTGGGCCTTGGGGCCGGCGGTGTTTCCTGCTCAGGGAGCTACTCTGAGGTCAGCAGAGCCATAATGGAATAGGGTTCAGCAGTACACAGGCAGACGATCCACACAGAGCAAGGTGGGCAGACGATCCACACAGAGCAAGGTGGGCAGACGATCCACACAGAGCAAGGTGTGTGAGTCCCACACGCGTGTGCTGAGCGAGGGAAGCCAGGTCTAAAAGTCCGCAGATGGCCGGGTCCCGTTGCCGTGTCCTGGAAAAGGTGAACTGGAGCCACGGGGAGGAGGCCTGGGGGCCGTCGCCGTAGCGGACTGCGGAGGGGCCGAAGGGACTGTCAGGGCTGGCGGCCTCGTTCCCTGTCCTGGCCGTGCGGGTGGGCGTGCCGCCGCGTTGCCGGGCCCCACAAGGAGTCGGTCTTTCTGTGTGTCGATCACGAAAAGACTTTTAAAAGTCAGATCAGGGTATCTGATGTTTTATTCCCTTTCCCATAAGGATTTTGTGACATTCAGGTAAAACTGCTTTCCTTTGTATCTTTTGCATTTTAGAGTTGATTATCTCCATTTACTTTAGGATTATTTTAAATTATGAGCTAATTCATTTGGAGGTAATTTTCGGGTTTGGTGTGGTGGGGGGACTGTGTGCCCAGCACTCTCCCGCTCAGTTCTCATCCCCCAGACGCCGGGGGTGCAGCTGTCTCTGGTTGCAGTGTCATCCCTGTAGTCCCAGCACTTTGAGAGGCCAAGGCGGGAGGATGGCTTGCGGCCAAGGGTTCCAGACCAGCCTCGGCAACATAGTGAGACTTCACTGTAGAAATTAAAAAAATTACCCAGGCATGATAGCGCGCACCTGTGGTGCCAGCTACTTGGGAGGCTAAGGTGGGAGGATTGCTTGAGCCCGTGAAGTTGAGACTGCACTGAGCTGTGATCACACACTGCACTCCAGCCTGGGCAACAGCAAGACCGTGTCTCGAAAAACAAGTAGAATAAAAAATGGATCACGCTGTGATCACACACTGCACTCCAGCCTGGGCAACAGCAAGACCGTGTCTCGAAAAACAAGTAGAATAAAAAATGGATCACGCTGTGATCACACACTGCACTCCAGCCTGGGCAACAGCAAGACCGTGTCTCGAAAAACAAGTAGAATAAAAATGGATCACGCTGTGATCACACACTGCAGTCCAGCCTGGGCAACAGCAAGACCGTGTCTCGAAAAACAAGTAGAATAAAAATGGATCACGCTGTGATCACACACTGCACTCCAGCCTGGGCAACAGCAAGACCGTGTCTCGAAAAACAAGTAGAATAAAAATGGATCACGCTGTGATCACACACTGCACTCCAGCCTGCAGGTCTGGACACATGAGACGCTATATCCTGCACGGCTGGATAGATCTGATGCTCCATCCCTGCCACCGGGTCATGACGGTGTGTCTTGCACGCGGTGAGGAGCACAGATGTGAAGGCTCACACATCCCCCCATCCCTGGGTGTTGAGCGCTTGGGGTTTGAAACCTGCACGGCCTGTGAGCCAGAATGGTCTCATGAGGTCAAAAGCGTGGGACTAGCACTAGCCCAAGGACCCGGTGCTGCACCCGGCTCGTTCCCTCCCACCGCACCGGGACGCCCTTCCAGGTGGCCAGGGCTGAGCTCCGTCAGGATCCTCATCACGGGAGCCGGCACGTGCCTGTGCGTCCTGCGGGGCCCGGCCCCTCCAGCCGCACACGGCTGCCTTCAAGTCATCCACAGGTGCGCCAGCCGGAGCGCGTCCTTTCCCATAGCAGCACTGCAATCCCCGCTGTGGCGCGCAGCCCCCTCCGCAGTCCCCCACGCCCCCCCGTGGTCACTCCCGCCCTGCACCTGTCAGGACGACTCTGCCACAGTTTATTCCTCCAGTCCCTGCTCTGGCGTCCGACTCCTCTCGCCTGGGGCACCGTGAACCAAGCAGCCGACGTCCCCATCCGTGCAGGCTCTCACGGGCACGGGCCCTCTTCCCACTGGTGTGCTTCTGGGAGGACAGATGTCCTGGCCGGGCCACGGGGCTTTACGCTCAGCCGCCCCGTGGGCCGCTTTCCCGGCAGCTGCGTGGCGTCCCAGTTCCCCCAGCAACGCGGAGGACACCCAGCTGCCTGGCAGCCTCGCGGGACCTGGCGTCTTCAGTCCTTTTTGTCTCAGCCGCGCGTGTCATGTTCTTGTTGCCACCTCTCCATGCCCCGTGAACCCTGCCCTCGCCGGCGCCAGTGCTGGGCGCTTCCCCTTGTCTACGGCCACCGTGCACCCCTCTCCGGAGGGCAGTGCATGTCCACTCGGTCGTGTTCGGGCCTCTTTCTCACTGATGCTTAAAATTCTGCCTCTGAGTCCCTCGTCAGAATCTCGCCTTGCAGAGACATTTCTCCCTCTGTGTCATGTCCTGTCATGGTGTTCACCGTGCCGGTAGCTGACCCTGAGTCCTGCGCTGGGGCGGTGCAGCGGTGCTCCCTTCCTTCAGGGAGCGCACGTGTGGCCCGTGAAAGAAACCTTGGCCGCGGCAGAGCCGTGCAGCGTCCCTCGTTTCCTTCCAGGAGGGGCCGCTGTTTGGCCTTTCACCCTTCGGGCTGGGATCCCCTGGTATTCAGTTTGTGTGAAGTGTCTTTGCCTGTGGATATTCCACGGGGCTCTGTCCCAACTCACTTCCTTCCCTTGCTCTCTTAGGCCACCGGTGCCCGACAGAGACTGACTGAGTCTTCATTACTCTGACTTTACAGGAAGGGTTGAAACCGGGCAGTGGGACTCATATCCACCAACTTGGTCCCCCTGTGAGTTCTTTTGTGTTCCCTGGTAAGTTTTCACATGAGCCTGTCCGTGTATACTACAAACCCCAAAACAACAGGCCCTCGGTGCATGTGGATGGGGATTGCTGGACTCTGTGGGTGGGGATCGCGTGGACTCTGGGTCAACAGAGTCGTCTGGAGGAAACTGCAGTCTGTGAACTCAGCAGTGAGGTCCACCTCACCACGTTGAGGTCGTCTTTGATTTCACCCAGCCGTGCCCTGCAGTTTGCTTTGTAGACACTGTGTGTGATTTTTGTTCCATTTTTCGTAGGTTGATTTTTCATGCTCTTGATAGATGGCATTATTGAAGATTTTATTTTTAGTTGTTTGTTGCCAGTATATTGAAATAATTTATTTTTGCATATAGTCCTTGGATCCAGCAACTTTGCTGAAGATACTTATTAATTCCCGTATTTGGTAAGCATTTGGATTGTCTACACAGTGTGTTGCTTGTGAATCATGACGGTTCTGCCTCTTCTTACCCGTCGTCGTATCTTTCGGTCTTTCCCTTGCCTGCTGCCCTGGCTCGGCCGTCCAGGCGGCCTTGGTGGTGACACTGTCCTCTTGTTCCCAGCACAGGGAGGAAGTGTTCATGTGTCATCGCTGTCTGAGCAGCTGGGGTGTTTCGTAGAGGCCCTTTGTCTGAGCATTCAGGCTGCTGTCAAGAAACACCATAGCCCGGGCAGCTTGTCACCAGCAAGACATTTACTGTTCACAGGTCTGCAGGCTGGAAGATCTCGGTGTGGCAGAGTGGTGCCTGGTTCATCGACGGCGCCTTCCCGCTGCGTCCTCACGGGGTGGAAGGGGTGAGGGAGCTCTCTGGGGTCCCTCAGAAGGGGACTCATCGCATTCATGAGGCCCCACCTCCCAACACCATCGCCTCGGGGGAGAGGATTTCAGCACGTGGATCTTGGGGACCCAGGCATTCAGGCCATAGCACCCTTTATGAGAATAAGAGTGTCCCTCCTGATTCTGGTTTCCTGGTCTATTATTATTATTAGATATTCCTGTTCTATTATTGCCGAGTTGGACTTGCTACTGTGTGTTCTGTGTGGGATTTCTGCCTCTGCTCTCCAGTGATAACTGGCCTGTGACTTCCTGTGTCCCTGACCGCGTCCAGGCTGTGCCAGCCTCGGAACAGGCACTGGGAAACGCCCCTCGTTTTTCTTCTCCAGGGGAACGCATGTGTGATTTCTTCCTTCAATGTTTGGTCGACTCATGGGAGCAGCCTTTGGGGGCTGGAATTTTCTTGGTGGGACAGTTTTAAATTATGGACACAATTTCTTGCAGAAACAGCTCTTTCAGATTTTCTATTGTAGTTTATTTTTTGACTTGTTCATCGGGGAGTCTGTTTCAGCAGTCATCTGACTTACAGGCATAAAGTGATTCATGAGCATCCACTATCTGATGTTTGTAGGATCTGTAGTTACAGCTGACATGGCTAATCTGTATTTGCTCTTTTTTTGAGACAGAGTCTCTCTCTGTCACCCAGGCTGGAGTGCAGTGGTGTGATCGTGGCTTACTGCAACCTCCACCTCCCAGGATCAAGTGATTCTCCTGCCTCAGCCTCCCGAGTAGCTGGGATTACAGGCGCCCGCCACCATGCCAGGCTAATTTTTGTGTTTTTAGTAGAGACGAGGTTTCACCATGTTGGCCAGGCTGGTCTCGAACTCCTGACCTCAGGTGATCCACCCCCCTCGGCCTCCTAAAGTGCTGGGATTACAGGCATGAGCCACCACGCCCAGCCAGCCAGGGTTAATTAATTTTTAAGAAATCTTTCAAATCATCGAGTTTTGATTTTGTTGATTTTCTGTTACTATTTACTTTGCGTTCCATCTCTGCCATGTATTTGTTCCTTTGGGGTAGAAGTGTAGACGATCGATTTTAAACTTTCCTTCCTCACGCGTGTATTTAAGGCTGTGAACCTGCCATGGGTCGCTGCTGTAGGTGCGTCCCACACATTCCATGAGATGTTTCTGTCGCCGTCCGATTCACCGCGTTGCCTGGCTGACGGGGCCATTTATTCCCGTACTTACTGGTTCTTAGTACGTGCCGCTTGATTTCCAGACGCTGGGGATGCAGCCGCCTCTGGTTACAGTGCCCACGCGTGGTCTGTGGTCAGGGGATACTGCGTGCCCGGCACTCCCACGCTCAGCTCTCATGACTGATTGAAGGCTGGAGCGAAAGCCACGTTGAGTTTGCAGATGCCCAGACAGGCCGCGCTGAGCGTGCTGTGTCTTTCTGCAGCAGAGGGTCTCTGGGCGGCGTCGGTCAGGCGCGAGGTACGCAGCAGGAGCGCCGGCGTCCAGGCCCTGCTGACTGCCCACTCCTGCCCTCTCTGCCCCAGGCCTGCGGCTGCCCCCTCTACTGGAAGGGGCCGCTCTTCTATGGCGCCGGCGGGGAGCGCACGGGCTCCGTGTCCGTCCACAAGTTCGTCGCCATGTGGAGAAAGTGAGTCCTGGGCTGGGCAGGGGGCTGTGTCGGGAGGGCGGAGGCGTCCCCGGGTCCCCGTGGTGCCAGGACGGGTGCCCCCTGAGGCTGCCGCAGTGAGAGGAGAAACCCTTGTACGGGCACAGGCCTGGCCGTCGTGTGTGGCCACCTGCCACGCACCACGTGGAACACCACACACGTGTTCCACCCTGCGTCTGCGGGGTCGAAAGCCACCCCCCTGTGAGGGTGGTGCCCAGTCATCCTGTCCTTCCAGAATCCTCCAGAACTGCCACGACGACGCGGCCAAGTTCGTCCATCTGCTCATGAGCCCCGGCTGCAACTACCTGGTGCAGGAGGACTTTGTCCCCTTCTTGCAGGTGAGAGCCTGCGTCTACACCACAGGCCTTATCCTTCACGGGAGGGCCCGCGTCTACACCGCATGCCTCATGGGAGGGCCGGCGTCTACACCACACGCCTCATCCCTCACGGGAGGGTCCGCGTCTACACCGCACACCTCATGGGAGGGCCCGCGTCTACACCACATGCCTCATCCCTCATGGGAGGGTCCGCGTCTACACCGCACACCTCATCGCTCACGGGAGGGTCCGCGTCTACACTGCACACCTCACGGGAGGGCCCGCGTCTACACCACATGCCTCATCCCTCACGGGAGGGCCGGCGTCTACACCATACGCCTCATCCCTCACGGGAGGGCCGGCGTCTACACCGCACACCTCATCGCTCACGGGAGGGTCCGCGTCTGCAGCGTCCACACCGCACACCTCACGGGAGGGCCGGCGTCTACACCACGCGCCTCGTGTCTTCCCACCCGCAGGACGTGGTGAACACGCACCCGGGGCTGTCGTTCCTGAAGGAGGCGTCCGAGTTCCACTCGCGCTACATCACCACGGTGGGTCCCCAGCGGAGGGGCCGTCGGTTCCAGCGCGGGGCGCGGGTGTTTCTGCAGCGGCCGCCGCGGGGCTTCTGCGGACGGGGCGGGCGGGGCCCGGGGTTCCTGAGCTTCCGGAGGAGGCGGCCGCGCTCTGGGAGAGTCTCCACCCGCCCGGGAGCCCGGTGTTGGGGGGACTCTGGTTTTCCGGGGTGGCCGCACCCCCTTCCCACCTGTCCTGGGCCCGTGTAGCTCCGGGGCGTCCCCGGCCAGACCCTCCCCGCTTTCCGCGGCCTGGGGCGGCGCCTCCCGCAGGGCCCTTCCCTCTGCCCCCGCCTGTGCCCTGGCGGCCCCGTGCGGCTGAGACCAAGGGCGCGCCCCTCTCCCGGCTCCCGGTCTCCGTGCGGGGCGAGGCTCCTGGGGGTCTCTGCGCACCCACCGCACTGACAGCGCCCCCGCAGGTCATCCAGCGGATCTTCTACGCCGTGAACCGGTCCTGGTCCGGCAGGATCACCTGCGCCGAGCTGCGGAGGAGCTCCTTCCTGCAGGTGCGGAGCGGCCCCCTGTCCCCTGCCCCCTGCCTTGTCCCTACCCCTCCTACCTCCACTCCCTTCCCTTCCCTCCTCCCCCCTCCCTCCTCCCCTCCCACCCCCTCTCCCACCCCCACCCCCACCCCCACCTCCACCGCGCTCCCAGCCCACCCCCAGGCCTGTGAGCACTGGAACCCCGCCGCCTGCGGTTGGGGGTCCACGGTTGATCTAGGAGGCGGGTGGGGCCGTACTGGGCACCACCCTGAGGGGGAGCCGAGCCCTGACTCCCCCAGAGCTGCCCCCACCCCCACACCCGCCTAGGGAGCCACCCCCATGCTGGAGCTCCCCCCACCGCAGAGTTGCCCCCACTCGGAGTGCCCCCCGGCCCCAGCTGCCCAGTCCCCCCCACCCACGGAGCGGCCCCGACCCTCCCAGCCTTCCCTGCCCCGCCCGCAGCCAGGCGGACTTGGGGCATCCCCGCAGAGGCCCCGCGCTCAGGCCGCCTGGGTCCTTTGGCAGAATGTGGCGCTGCTGGAGGAGGAGGCGGACATCAACCAGCTGACCGAATTCTTCTCGTACGAGCATTTCTACGTCATCTACTGCAAGTTCGGGGAGCTGGACACGGACCACGACCTGCTCATCGACGCGGACGACCTGGCGCGGCACAATGACCACGGTGCGTGGGGGCACAGGGGCGGGCGGGCCGCGCGGACACCGAGCACACCCTTCTCTCAGGGCCTGCGGGTCTGCAGCTGCCTCTCCTTCCGCACTCCCAGCTCTGTGTCTGCAGCTGCCTCTCCTTCGCACTCGCCGCTCTGTGTCTGCAGCTGCCTCTCCTTCCCCAGTCGCTGCCCCGTGTCTGGGTCCCCGCGTGCGCCTCTGCCCGAGGCCTCTGCCTGGGGGCGTCTACAGGGTCAGTGTGGGCCGCTGGTCCTGAAGCTCCTGGCCCGAGGGCCAGCAGCGCTGTGGGGCTTCCTTGTTAACACCCGAGCAAGGGCGGGCAGGCCACACGCCTTCCCTCAGGAGCTCCAGGTTCCAGCCCCCAAGGCCTGGAGCAGTTTCCATCCAATCCCGGGCTAGGTGGAGCCCCAGGCTTAGCGGTCGTTCATATACCTCCGCGGGAGCCGGTGCCGCCCAGGTGTCCTCACAGCAGCCACTGCCTCCCGGCCCCTCTAAGAGTCATCCACACTTGCAGGAACTCAAAGCGGCCTGTGGCCTGTGGGGCTTGAGTTTTCTAAAGGATTCCTTTAAGTGTGCTTTTTACCCCAAAAAACCATATGACCAAGACTGTTTCCGAATTACGGTGGCATCTGTTGTGTGTGGTCGACTCATAATACGCCTGGTTCCCCGAACGTGAGCTGCACCCGTCTGCGTCTCCCGGGGCTGGTCCTGGGTCGCGTGGCCGCAGTAGATCCCTGCGTCGGACGCGCACCTGAGCAGACGTAGCATTCCCTGGATTTGTCCTGCGCTCAGTTCAGGGAGCCACCTGCGCCCTGGGCCCCTAACTAGCCACGAGGAGAGCACAGCTCCACAGCGCCGGCCCGTGTGGCCTGGGCCAGCACCTGCACAGCTGGGAATCGGCCCAGAACCAGGCGCTCACTGTCCCTGTGAACCCCCGGCCCGGCGCGGCCCCAGCTTTCCGCGTTCCTCTGGAGCCCACTCTCGGTCCCAGGGCAGGATGCCGTGTGCGGCCGGGCTGCGCTGTTTCTCACGCACTGCGGCCTGAAGCGGGGGGCGGCACCTTGGCTCGTGCGTCCCAGGGACACCGGTGACCGCAGGGATGGCCGCCCAGGCTGCGGGACCTTCTCGTGGCCCAAGCTGACGGCGACGGTGCTTTCACTCCTGCCTCCCGTTGGTGAGGTCTCCCTCCCGCCTCCCGTTGGTGAGGTCTCACTCCGGCCTCCCGTTGGTGAGGTCTCACTCCCGCCTCTCCTTGGTGAGGTCTCACTCCGGCCTCCCGTTGGTGAGGTCTCAATCCCGCCTCCCGTTGCTGAGGTCTCACTCCCGCCTCCCGTTGGTGAGGTCTCCCTCCCGCCTCCCGTTGCTGAGGTCTCCCTCCCGCCTCCCGTTGGTGAGGTCTCACTCCCGCCTCCCGTTGGTGAGGTCTCCCTCCCGCCTCCCGTTGGCGACGTCTCCCTCCCGCCTCCCGTTGGCGACGTCTCCCTCCCGCCTCTCCTTGGCGACGTCTCCCTCCCGCCTCCCGTTGCTGAGGTCTCCCTCCCGCCTCCCGTTGCTGAGGTCTCCCTCCCGCCTCCCGTTGCTGAGGTCTCCCTCCCGCCTCCCGTTGCTGAGGTCTCCCTCCCGCCTCTCCTTGGTGAGGTCTCCCTCCCGCCTCCCGTTGCTGAGGTCTCACTCCCGCGTCTCCTTGGTGAGGTCTCCCTACCGCCTCCCGTTGCTGAGGTCTCACTCCCGCGTCTCCTTGGTGAGGTCTCCCTCCCCCCCTCCCGTTGCTGAGGTCTCACTCCCGCGTCTCCTTGGTGAGGTCTCACTCCCGCCTCCCGTTGCTGAGGTCTCACTCCCGCCTCCCGTTGGCGAGGTCTCCCTCCCGCCTCCCGTTGGCGAGGTCTCACTCCCGCCTCCCGTTGGCGAGGTCTCACTCCCGCCTCCCGTTGGCGAGGTCTCACTCCCGCCTCCCGTTGGCGAGGTCTCACTCCCGCCTCCCGTTGGCGAGGTCTCCCTCCCGCCTCCCGTTGGCGAGGTCTCCCTCCCGCCTCCCGTTGGCGAGGTCTCCCTCCCGCCTCCCGTTGGCGAGGTCTCCCTCCCGCCTCCCGTTGGCGAGGTCTCCCTCCCGCCTCCCGTTGGCGAGGTCTCCCTCCCGCCTCCCGTTGGCGAGGTCTCCCTCCCGCCTCCCGTTGGCGAGGTCTCCCTCCCGCCTCCCGTTGGCGAGGTCTCCCTCCCGCCTCCCGTTGGCGAGGTCTCCCTCCCGCCTCCCGTTGGCGAGGTCTCCCTCCCGCCTCCCGTTGGCGAGGTCTCCCTCCCGCCTCCCGTTGGCGAGGTCTCCCTCCCGCCTCCCGTTGCTGAGGTCTCCCTCCCGCCTCCCGTTGGCGAGGTCTCCCTCCCGCCTCCCGTTGGCGAGGTCTCACTCCCGCCTCTCCTTGGCGAGGTCTCACTCCCGCCTCCCGTTGCTGAGGTCTCACTCCCGCCTCCCGTTGCTGAGGTCTCACTCCCGCCTCCCGTTGGCGAGGTCTCACTCCCGCCTCCCGTTGGCGAGGTCTCACTCCCGCCTCTCCTTGGCGAGGTCTCCCTCCCGCCTCCCGTTGCTGAGGTCTCCCTCCCGCCTCCCGTTGCTGAGGTCTCCCTCCCGCCTCCCGTTGCTGAGGTCTCCCTCCCGCCTCCCGTTGCTGAGGTCTCCCTCCCGCCTCCCGTTGCTGAGGTCTCCCTCCCGCCTCCCGTTGGCGAGGTCTCACTCCCGCCTCCCGTTGGCGAGGTCTCACTCCCGCCTCCCGTTGGCGAGGTCTCACTCCCGCCTCCCGTTGGCGAGGTCTCACTCCCGCCTCCCGTTGGCGAGGTCTCACTCCCGCCTCCCGTTGGCGAGGTCTCACTCCCGCCTCCCGTTGGCGAGGTCTCACTCCCGCCTCCCGTTGGCGAGGTCTCACTCCCGCCTCCCGTTGGCGAGGTCTCCCTCCCGCCTCCCGTTGGCGAGGTCTCCCTCCCGCCTCCCGTTGGCGAGGTCTCCCTCCCGCCTCCCGTTGCTGAGGTCTCCCTCCCGCCTCCCGTTGCTGAGGTCTCCCTCCCGCCTCCCGTTGCTGAGGTCTCCCTCCCGCCTCCCGTTGCTGAGGTCTCACTCCCGCCTCCCGTTGCTGAGGTCTCACTCCCGCCTCCCGTTGCTGAGGTCTCACTCCCGCCTCCCGTTGCTGAGGTCTCACTCCCGTCTCCCGTTGGTGAACCTTTGGTTGAAACGTGTTTGTTTCCGTGATCACACTCGAGGTCTCTCTCTCCGTCTGAAAGCTGTACCTTTGAGGCCTGAATATTCTGCTCTTTACAAGTCGGTCTTGGAGCCGCGGTCAGCTTTGCGCTCTGTGGATTTCATGCTGGACTTGGCTCTGCTCGACGGGAAAGCGTGGTGGGCCCCTAGGATGGGCCGTGCAGGGGCATCGGGGCCCCGGGGCTCTCCCAGACCCAGGCGTCCTCTCAGCTTTTCGGTCCCCACCGCATCCAGTCTCGGCTCCGGGGGGTGGTGACGTCGGGGCCGAGGCACGGTGCGGGCTGCCCATCAACCGCATTCCTTTCCAGCCCTTTCTACCAAGATGATAGACAGGATCTTCTCAGGAGCAGTCACACGGTACGTACGGCTCAGGCGCCTGACGGCAGCCATTGCCCCTGCGAGGACCCCGGTCCCTCTCCTCATCGTTGCCTGACGTGAGCTTTTTGTGCCCCGACAGCGAGTGGTTGTCACCCCAGGCCCTGGCGAGGGGGGCACGTGTCTCTGTCACGTGAATCCCTAGTGGGGGGGGGTGGCACAAGACTGTCACGCGAAGTCTGAGGAAGGGGGTGGCCCAGGCCCCAGGTCGGGGGTTCTTGTCGGGCGCTGGGCCTGAGTGAGCAGTAACGAAGGTGCACTCCTGACCCTGCCTGGATCTGGGGAAAACCCTCTGGCCACGGGGCCTCCACCTCCTCCCCGGAGAGGCAGGAGGAGGGGCAGGAGGGGGGCAGGAGGAGGGCCGGGCCCGGGGGGCTCCCCTCACCGAGGCGCGTGGACAGGGGCTCCGTTCCTGTGAAGCTCTCCCTGACATGCATCTTCGTCTCTCCATCCTGGCTTTCGATCTAGAGGCAGAAAAGTGCAGAAGGAAGGGAAGATCAGCTATGCCGACTTTGTCTGGTTTTTGATCTCTGAGGAAGACAAAAAAACACCGACCAGGTGGGTTCCTGCTGCGGCATGCGTTTGTCCCAGTGGAGGGGCCGGGAGCCGCCCATGTGACATGTGTCCCCAGGCGGATGCCTGCACGCCTGGTGGGGGCTGCACGGCACAGGGGGACATGTGCACGCCCGGTGGGGGCTGCACGGCACAGGGGGACATGTGCACGCCTGGTGGGGGCTGCACGGCACAGGGGGACGCGTGCGCGCCCGGTGGGGGCGGCAGGGGGCAGGGGATGCCTGCACGCCCGGTGGGGGCTGCAAGGCACAGCGGGGACGCGTGCACCCCCGGTGGGGGCTGCCTCAGGGGCTGCAGGTCACGGGCTGGGAGGGCCCAGGGCAGGGGCTGACAGAGCTCGCCGTGCCGCAGCATCGAGTACTGGTTCCGCTGCATGGACCTGGACGGGGACGGCGCCCTGTCCATGTTCGAGCTCGAGTACTTCTACGAGGAGCAGTGCCGAAGGCTGGACAGCATGGCCATCGAGGCCCTGCCCTTCCAGGACTGCCTCTGCCAGATGCTGGACCTGGTCAAGCCGAGGACTGAAGGTGATGCCCCGTGAGGGCATGGCCCAGGGTGAGGGGACGGACGGGCGAGAGGACGGCCCAGGGTGAGGGGACGGACGGGCGAGAGGACGGCCCAGGGAGAGGGGACGGATGACAGCCCAGGGAGAGGGGACGGACGGGAGGGAGGACGGCCCAGGGAGAGGGGACGGACGGGAGGGAGGACGGCCCAGGGTGAGGGGACGGACGGGAGGGGGGACGGCCCAGGGTGAGGGGACGGACGGGAGGGGGGACGGCCCAGGGTGAGGGGACGGACGGGAGGGGGGACGGCCCAGGGTGAGGGGACAGACGGGAGGGGGGACGGACCAGGGTGAGGGGACGTCCCTGTGAGGCGCTGTCCTACTGAGTTTGTGAGGAGGGCCAGCACCACAGGTGCCTAGTCTCACAGTGCAAGAACCTCCTATTCGGGGCGTCGACACCCCCCGAGGGGTGACCTAGAGAACCTAGGGCCGGAGCTCACCGGGGACGTTGGCACTGGGCTGAGGGAGCAGTTGCCACGTTCGTGCTGATGCCGCACAAGGCGGTCCTCCCCTCACCCCCCCCCCCCGTCTCCTCCCCTCTCACCCCGCCCCCCCCCGTCTCCTCCCTTCTCACCCCCCCCCGGCTCCTCCCCCCCTCTCGCCCCCCCCCATCTCCTCCCCTCTCACCCCCCCCATCTCCTCCCCTCTCACCCCCCCCATCTCCTCCCCTCTCACCCCCCCCATCTCCTCCCCTCTCACCCCCCCCATCTCCTCCCCTCTCACCCCCCCCATCTCCTCCCCTCTCACCCCCCCGGCTCCTCCCCTCTCACCCCCCCGGGTCCTCCCCTCTCACCCCCCCGGGTCCTCCCCTCTCACCCCCCCCAGCTCCTCCCCTCTCACCCCCCCCCGGGTCCTCCCCTCTCACCCCCCCCCGGGTCCTCCCCTCTCACCCCCCCCCGGGTCCTCCCCTCTCACCCCCTCCGGGTCCTCCCTTCTCACCCCCCCCGGCTCCTCCCCTCTCACCCCCCCCGGCTCCTCCCCTCTCACCCCCCCCCGGCTCCTCCCCTCTCACCCCCCCCCGGCTCCTCCCCTCTCACCCCCCCCCGGCTCCTCCCCTCTCACCCCCCCGGCTCCTCCCCTCTCACCCCCCCGGCTCCTCCCCTCTCATCCCCCCCCGGCTCCTCCCCTCTCACCCCCCCCGGCTCCTCCCCTCTCACCCCCCCCCGGCTCCTCCCCTCTCACCCCCCCCGGCTCCTCCCCTCTCACCCCCCCGGCTCCTCCCCTCTCACCCCCCCCCGGCTCCTCCCCTCACCCCTGTTCCCCCCACACCATCTCCCCAGCTCCTCCCACCCACCCCCGTGCCCTCTAAGGCAAAGGGGAGCCCCACCGTCCACGCCGCCTGGCTTCCTTCTGCATCTCAGAATCCAGCTCTGGGACTTTCACTTTGGAAATGGCTCTGAGGCCCGGGCACCGCCCTGCAGCCCTGCCCCCCCCGGCCATGGGGCGCCTCCTGCTGCTCAGTGTCCCCGGGACACCCTCTGGCCTCTGCCTGCACGGGGAGCTCCGTTCTCTGTAATTTCAGATCCAGCAGCGCCCCTGCTGGCCGCGCCTCCCTGCGCTAGTCCCAGTCCACGCATCCTTGGGGCACCGGTGGCCCCTAGTCGCCTCCGCATCACGGCCTCCCACGCCTCAGTCCCCACCCAGAACCAGGACACTCGCGTGTCCGCCTTTCACGTCAAACACGTGGCGTGAGAGCCCGGAGCTTCGTGCCGCGTCCTTAAGCACGTGTGACAGGACGCGCGCACCCCACACCCAGGCCCCGAAGGTGAGACCGGGCTCACGCGCCTTGGACGCACTCCCCTCCCCGCAGGGAAGATCACGCTGCAGGACCTGAAGCGCTGCAAGCTGGCTAACGTCTTCTTCGACACCTTCTTCAACATCGAGAAGTACCTCGACCACGAGCAGAAAGAGCAGATCTCCCTGCTCAGGGTGAGTGCGGCGGGCACGCGGGCCGGGCCGCGCCACGCCGTGTACGTAACCCGTGTGCTTCCTCCAGGACGGTGACAGCGGCGGCCCCGAGCTCTCGGACTGGGAGAAGTACGCGGCCGAGGAGTACGACATCCTGGTGGCCGAGGAGACTGCGGGAGAGCCCTGGGAGGACGGGTGAGTGGGGAGGACGGGTGAGTGGGGGGACGGGTCAGTGGGAGGACGGGTGAGTGGGGAGGACGGGTGAGTGGGAGGACGGGTGTGTGTGCAGCCGGGGGATGCGGGGTCAGTCAGGTGGGGTGCGCGGACACAGAGGGGCGGGGTGAGACCTGACACGGGGCCGGTGAGGTAAGGACAGCCGATGACAGGGCCGGGCCTCGGTGCAGTCTGCCCGTCATTCCCCGCGTGGGGTTCTGTGATCCTGGGCGCGAGGCTTCGCACATCAGGCCCAGCACGGGGAGGCCGAGTCGTGTTTCGCCAACGACGTCTGTCCTTATCCCACGGCTGGCACCTGCTGGGCAGGCTGCAGGGCCCGTGGCCATTCCAGCCTCCGCTTCGGCCTTCCAGCCTTGGAGGCCCTGAGAGGCCCTGGGCTGGTTGCTTTCTCACGGAGCGTGAGGGTTCTTCGTGTCTTCAGCATACAAACCCTTTATTTGCGACGTGTTCGCCTTTTTCCCAGTTTGTGACGTATGTTTTCACCCCCTCTTCACGTGGTGTCTCAGAGATGTTCTGAATTTGGAGGAGGAGACACTGACTGGTTATTTTTACAGCGGTGTTTCTGGTGTCATATCTAAGAATTCATTTCTGAATCCAAAGCCACGAAGATTTTCCTCTGCGATGTTTTGTGTTTTGGTCTGGGGTCCTCTTGAGTAACCTTCCCTGTGGGGTGTGAAGCTCGGATTGAGGTTCCCCTTGTGGTACGTGGGTGTCCGGGTGTCCGACTGTCCCAGCATCAGCTTTGCAGGCCGCAGCGTTGCCTCGGCGTCGTGACTGTGCCGTGTGCGGGCTCCGTTCCGGAACCTTCCTCCGTCCCACTGCTGCACGCGTCTGTCCGTTCCCGCGGCAGAGCTGGCTGTGGTGAGAAGCCTCCGACTTGGGCGCCGTGTGGAACTGTCGGGGCCATTCTGGTGTTGGGCTGCCTGTGTGTGAATCTTAGACTCAGCCCGTCCTTGCTCTGCCGTCCTGTGGGAACGTGTGTTGGACTCTGACGTGGTGGTGAGTGCTGGTCCCGGGACCACGTGGACTGTGGCCCCCACCGGCCTCCCGTGGTGCACGCTGGAGCGACGTGGTCACTTTTGCCATCCCGTGCTGAGCTTCTCAGTTCTGCTTCTGTCCCGCGCTACGTTGGCTATTCTGGTTTCTTTGCCTTTGTATGAAAACACATAAGAATAGGCTCCTTCTGGCCGGGCGCGGTGGCTCACGCCTGTCATCCCAGCACTTTGGGAGGCTGAGGAGGGCGGATCACGAGGTCAGGAGATCGAGACCATCCTGGCCAACATGGTGAAACCCCGTCTCTACTAAACAAAAAAAAAATTAGCCGGGCGTGGTGGCGGGCGCCTGTAGTCCCAGCTACTCGGGAGGCTGAGGCAAGAGAATGGCGTGAATCTGGGAGGCGGAGCTTGCAGTGAGCCGAGATCGCGCCACCACACTCCAGCCTGGGTGACAGAGCGAGACTCCGTCTCCAAAAAAAAAAAGCCAGGGATGGTGGCACACGTCTGTAATCCCAGCTACTCGGGAGGTGCAGGTTGCAGTGAGCCAAGATCGCGCCACTGCACTCCAGCCCGGGCAACGAGAGCAAAACTCCATTTCCAAAACAAAAACAAACAATCTGAACTTTTGAGTGAGATCTCGCTGAGTGAATGGATCCCTGTGGGCCCAGCTGCCGCCTTCATAACCGCAGGAGGCCCAGTCCATGGGCGCCGTCCGTGTCTCTCGGCAGGATTTTTGTAGCTTTCCGTGTACGCTTGATGCGAATGTTGTGAGACTTCTGAGTGTTTCCTGATGTTTTCCTGTTGTCAGCGGTGCTTTTAAGGTTCCCGTTTCCAGTTGTTCGTTGGTAGCATATAGAATTTATTGACCTTGTGTTTTGCACCTTCATGAAACTCACTTACTGGATCTCAAAGCTCTGTCGGTTCTTTGGGGTTTTCTGCGTGGACAGCCCATGTCTGTCAGTGGGTCCGTCTCTCGTCTTCCTTTTCACCTCTCTGTGTACGTTACTTCCTTTCTCTTGCCTGCTGCATGGCCTGGAACCCGCAGGGAGATGTGGTGGATGTCAGGGCAGACCACGGCCAGCCTTGAGTGAGCCCTGCTGGTTTGTGTGCCGTCCTCGTTCCCAGTCCTGGGGGACGTCTCCCCTCACGCAGCGGTAAGCACGCTCATTGGCGAGGATGTTCTCCCTCTTCCTGGTCTGCGGGGGCTTTCTCGCAGTGGGGGCCGAATTTCTCAGATGCTTTCGCTCCGTGGTTCCTCTGTGTGTCCATACAGCGAGTTACACCGAGTCATTTTCAGCCAGCCTCGTGTTCCCAGGATAGATCTTGCCGAGTCATGTGTTATCCTCACATATTACTGGATTCTCTTTGCAGAGATTATCTGTAGTATTTTATTATTTTTTTGGAGACAGGGTCTGGCTGTGTCACGCAGGCTGGAGGGCATTGGCGCAATCTCAGCTCACTGCACCCTCCACCTGCTGGGCTTAAGGAATCCTCGCACCTGAGCCCCCCGAGTAGCTGGGCTTCCAGGCACGCACCACCACACCCGGCTACTTTTTTGTATTTTTTTGTAGAGATGGGGTTTCACCGTGTTGCCCAGGTTGGTCTTGGATGCCTGAGCTCGAGGGTTCTCCCCGCCTCGGTCCCCCAACGTGCCGGAATTACAGGTGTGAGCCCCTGCCCAGCCTTGAGTGAGCTTTGCTGGTTTGTGTGTTTCGGAAACTTGCCCGTTCCCATCAGTGGGTTATTGTTGGTATTTCCTGCTCGTGACTCTGATGTCTGCAGAATCCAGTGATAGCGTCTCTCACGCTCCTGATACTGACTTTGTGTGTGATCAGTGAGGCGAGGGGCCGACGAGGTTCACTCCTCTTCCCAGGGAACCACGGGTGTTTCTCCCCTTTGTTCTGCTGTTTTCCTTGAGTATCTTCAGGCAGCGACGTGGGCCATGGACACCGCAGCCCGCGGCCTTCTGATTTTGGTGCAGCTCAAAATACTTTCTGGTTACCGTTGGGTTCCCGACCCATGGGTTCCATGGACGTGCATTTTAACCCCTGCTCCCCCATCAGCCGCCCCGTCCGATTCCTGCCAAGCAGCACAGGGCCCCTGCGGCCCACCCTGGGCCGTCTGTCCTGTGTGTCCGTCCTCCTCGTGGTCATTGTTTGCACGGTGGCTCTGACCTGGCAGCCAACCTCTGGGTCCCCACAACTTCCCAGTCTCTGCCTTCTCCTGTCGGACACCCTAAGGCAGCTGTGGCCCCCAGACCTAGCCTGGATGGGTGTGCGCCTGTCCCCACCACCGTCTGTCACCTCTGCTCCCCACCTGACCAGTGTCCACCCCCACGGCTGCCCGGCTTTGTGTCTGCGGCACAGCCAGCAGCACGCTGGGGTCGACTGCCTTCACCGTGTCCACGCCTGCTCCGGCAGTGGGAGCTCAGGTCCGTGGGGGTGACCGCGGGGAGCTCAGTGCCAGGCTGTCGGGGGCGTCTTGGAAAGCAGAGGTGTCCCCACAGGATCTCTGAGAGTCTGTGTGGTCCGTGGCCGCGCTGGGTTCCCCGGAGCAGCGCCCGACGTCACTGCCGAGACCTTAAGGGAAGGCGCGCGTCCAGTCCTCGCACTGCTGCGTGTTCTGGTCAGAACGGAAGTGGTAGCCTCCACTGGGAGCTTCTGTGCTTTGGGAGAATGTGTCTAAACTGTGGTCCTGTTTGTTCTCCAGTCCTGTGTGGACACCACGACCCAGTTGTAAACACAGGTCCCGTGCAGCTCGCTTTGGGGAAGAGGCGCGCCCGCCCAGGTCCTCTGTGTGTAGCTCACGCCCGGGGCTCCGTCCCGTCCTGGGTGGGTTTTCACCTGCACCGCAGGCCCCTCCCCCGGGAGCATTCGTGGAGCCGGCGTCCTCAGCCAGGAGCGCGTTGCTGGCTCAGCGGCTGGAGCTCAAGGTCGGCTCAGGGGACTGTCTCGTGCTGGAGGTTGGCGGCCGAGCAGCCTGTGTTTCCCGGAAAACGGCCCAGGGCCTGCTCCGCGCTGCTGGCCACGTCTTCGCCATCCCCTCGTTGCAGGTTCGAGGCCGAGCTCAGCCCTGTGGAGCAGAAGCTGAGTGCGCTGCGCTCCCCGCTGGCCCAGAGGCCCTTCTTCGAGGCGCCCTCACCGCTGGGCGCCGTGGACCTGTACGAGTACGCATGCGGGGACGAGGACCTGGAGCCGCTGTGACGCCGCCCGCGAGAACGCCGCCGCGGGGCCGCTCCCCACGTGCCACCACCGGGCCACCGCGGCTCGTGTAAAAACTGTTGTGGAAAATGAGTGCGTTTGTACGGAATGATAAACTTTTATTTATTCACAGAAGCGTGTTGATTGCCGCTGTGGGTTCGTGGCTGGACCTGCCCAGAGCTCTGTGCCAGGGGGACACGTAGGGCCGCGCGTGAATGGGACGGGTTCCCACACGGACACCCTCTGGCGCTTGCCGTTCCCGACCCAGCCTGGGTTCCGGGGCCTGCGTCTGTGGAAAGGGTCCGTGTGCGCACAACGGTGACCGGCGGCTCCCGGGCGCTTCAGTCCTGGACAGGAGCCTCCACCACAGGCTGTGTGAATGTTTTGTGTAAACGTACAAAACCGTTTCTGGCGATCACGCTTGTACGTTTGGAGGATTTTCAGTCACGGGCTCGGCTCCCTCAGCCACAGCGTGGCTCCGTCCAGGATTTACAAGCGTCAGTGCTGGAGGGGGACCGCAGCCACGCCAGACGCCTCGGGGTGCAGCCTGGGCCTCTCTGCGGGGCCCCTCCCCAGCCAGGGGGACCCCACCCTCGGGGCCGTTCCCTCCCGGAGCCACGGACCCAGGCCCCGTTCCACAAACGACCCCAGAAGGAAGGAGCCCGCGCCAGAGTGGGGACGTCCACAGCTGGGGGACACCTAAATGAGGGGGGTCGGAGGCCCCACCAGGAGGAGCTCCCTGTGCAGGGGAGGCCACAAGCACCCCAGGGGCACCCGACGTGGATGAGCCCAGGCCCAGCTGTGCTCCCTCTGCACGCAGGTGAGGGTCACAGGTGGTGACCATGGGAACAACCCCGTCCTCACACACGACAAAACTCTCCCCCAGGAAACGGAGGTGGCAGCGTCCACGCGGCAGGGCAGGGCCAAGCCGGGACCACCCCGAGAGCAGCATACGCACCCCGTTCATCCACCGGCAGCCGTCGCTGTGAAGGAGGCGGACGCACAGGGTGGTCCCGTGACCCCTGAGGAGAGACTGCGGGGGCTCCAGGTGGTGGGTAGACGAGGCAGCACCTCCCGGGGGAATGCTGCTGTCCCCAAGGTGTCCTCAGTGTCACCAGGTGCTCCCCTGAATTCCCGGATGCCCCCACCTGGGTCTGCGAAGGGTCAGGACCCCCAACAACAGGACAGGTGCAGGGCAGGAGGTTCTGCCGCAGGGAAATGACACTGGGAGCCACGGCCCGCAGGGCCCACCCTGCCCTCAGCTCCGGGGAGCCCGTCTGGGAGACCATGTCCGCCCCACACCACCTCCGGACACCACCCCCCAACACACACACACCTATGAGCCGGAGCCCATGGTCATGGGAGGGCTCTGACCAGCGCCCTCAGCCTCCCCACACTGACACTGGGAGCCCCCCCAATTAGGGTTCAAGGCTGAGACATGAGAGGCCTCCCTGGGGCCGTGAAAGACAGCGTCCCCCACCCACGACGCTGGTGAGGCCCCTGCACAGCCACTGAGCATCCTCCGACATCCCTGTACCCAATGCATTCCCCCAAGTGCCCCGTCCTTCCCCAGCCACAACCCCAGATGCCCCGGGCAGTGCCGGGGCCGGGCGTGCACACCGACACCTTTGCCGGAGAAGTGGGGGGGTCCTGTCGGGGGTCCTAGTGGACGGCGGCGCTGCGGGGAGACCCAGAGCCCAGCAGTCATGCCCTCCACGTGTTCTGGGGGTCCATTCCCCCGAGGGCTCACGTGTGCAGGGGGCCAGGGACCCCACAAAACAAGCACTCGGGGCACCCTGACCGTGGCCAGCGTCCCGCCAGAAGCCAGGATGTTCCAGGGCTCAGCACCTCACCCTCTGAATGACAATCGTGGGTCCCCCGCACTTCGTGGCCGTCACCCCTTGGAGATCCCCGAGCAGGGACCCGACCCAGCCCACCCCTCCCCTCCCTCACGGGGTGCCTTCGTGTCAGAACCAAGAGTGTTCACAGGGGCAGCCCCGGGTCCACCCAGGAGCAGCAGCATGAGCTCTGTTCGGGGAGGACCATGAAAGGTGCCAGCCACAGCCCTGAGGTCCCGGGGCACCTCCTCACGGGACAAGACACAGCTGCTCAAGGCGCAGCAGGGGTGACCGCCGGCACCAGACCGGCATCCACAGCGCTGTCCTGAGGGGCGGCAGGGACAGTGATGGCAAGACGGGCTACCCAGAATAAGGGGACCCAGCCTGGTGGGGGGGACGGGGCCCGGAGAGCCATGAGACGGGGGAGACAGAGGAGATGGAGAGGGGGAGATGGGGGAGAACTGGGGGGCCTCAGATACAGGGGATGAGGCAAAGCCGGACCCAGCCATGGCCTGCAGCCCTGAGGTCCCGGGGCGCCTCCTCGTGGGACAGGACACAGCTCCTCGAGGTGGAGCCGAGGTGACGGGGAGCAGAGGTGACGGGCACCACAGGTTCCCAGCACTGGCACCAGACCGGCACCGAGAGCCCCGCCCAGAACAAGGGGGGACCCAGCCTGCGGAGGGACGGGGTCTGGACAGCCACGAGACGGAGGAGACGGAGAAGGGAGAGATGGAGGAAATGGAGACGGGCAAGACGGAGGGGAGGGAGGAGATGGAGAAAGGGGAGTTGGGGGAGAACGGGCGGGCATCAGATGCAGGAATGAGGCAGAGCCAGACCCAGCCGCGCTCAGCAGTTCCTAGAGAAGACACGGCTCCCGGGGGAGCGGGAGGCCTTTATGACTCAGAGCCGGGGAAGGAGCAGAGGCCGGAGGTCGTCCCCAGCACGGTGCCCACGGGCCGCCCTGCCCAGGCCGAGGGGTCGGACCCCACACGGCACAGAAGCCCCGTCTGCCGCAGCCCCGAGACACACATCCTGTGGCTGACAGCGGTGCGGCCCCTGGGCCGGCGCAGACCCCACGTGGCACAGACGGCCCCGCTGGGTCTCAAGCCTGCAGACAAGGCCACGCACCCGGCAAGACGCTGCTGCGTGGCTACAGCAGAGGGGCCTCGAACCACGTTCCCCATGACCCACGGGCAGACCCTGGCACAGCAGGGATCCCTGCGCCCTGGCGCCGTGTAGAAGTCACAGCTCCCCCAGCCTTGGCTGCCGCACACGCCACTCAGAGCCTGGGGAGCAGCCGTTCGGGTCTCGGTGAAACAGCGGCCCCAGGACGTGTCTGCGCAGCTCCTAGGCGGGGGCTGCCCCGGGTCTTCCGCAGGGGGGCCTGGCCGTCGGCTGCAGCCTCCCCCGGCCCCGTGTCCTCACCATGGCGTAGCTGTCTCCACCCCGTTATCAGCTCCCGCAGCAGCCCCGGCTGCCACGAGTGGGTCCTGACCACAAGGCGGGGGGTCCTGCCCGCCTCTGCCCCAGAGAACAGCCCCTCTGCGGGGACAGGGCCACCCCATCTCCCCAGCGCGGCGCTGCCTGACCTCACGGAGCAGCCATGGGGGGGGACGAGGCCCCGTCGGGGGGGACGAGGCCCCGTCGGGGGGGGACGACCCCAGTGGTGCAGGGATAGGAGGTCCCGCTTGGACAAGCCCCCCACAGGCCTCCCCACAACAGGGCTTCTAGGCCCCGTCTCTCAGCCCCCAACACACAGGCCCTTGCCCCGCAACCAGGACGGGCCTGAGCGGTACCTACGGCCGACAGCCCACAGGTGCGACCACAGGGGGACGCGACCACAGGGGGACGCGACCACAGGGGGACGCGACAGCCCCTCCCCCAGGTCACAGAGGCCCCCGAGCCCCCGTCCTCCTCGCCAGGGCCTCGGCCCGCAGGCACTCACACAAACCTTGCAGGAGACTCAGAGAAGTGGGGCTTAGGGAGGCAGCCCCCTAGCTATAGTGATTCCAGAAAGGCAGACTCTATGCTGTACCTGTTTTTTGTTTGTCGCCCAGGCTGGACTGCCATGGTGCGATCTCGGCTCACTGCAGCCTCTGCCTTCTGGGTTCAAGCGATTCTCCTGCCTCAGCCTCCCGCGTAGCTGGGATCACAGGCGCCCGCCACCACCACGCCCGGCTAATTTTTGTATTTTCAGTTGAGACGGGGTTTCTCCATGTTGGCCAGGATGGTCTCAAACAACTGACCTCAAGTGATCCACCCGCCTCGGCCTCCCAAAATGCTGGGATGACAGGTGTGAGCCACCGCGCCCGGCCTTTTTTTAATAGAAAACTGGGGTCCCACCAGGCACAGGGGCTCACGCCTGTCATCCCAGCACTTTGGGAGGCCGAGGCAGGCAGATCACGAGGTCAGGAGTTAGAGACCAGCCTGGCCAACATGGTGAAACCCCGTCTCTACTAAAAATACAAAAAAATTAGCCGGGCGCGGTGACGGGCGCCTGTGATCCCAGCTACTCGGGAGGCTGAGGCAGGAGAATGGCGTGAACCCGGGAGGCGGAGCTTGCAGGGAGCCGAGATCACACCACTGCACTCCAGCCTGGGCGACAGAGCGAGACTCCGTCTCAAAAAATAAATAAATGTACCATGGAAACCTGCCCCGTCCTCACCTCACCCAATGTCAGAGTCAGGGACACAGGGCATGGCCCACAGGGTAGGATGACAGGATGTCCACCCGGGCCCTGACCCTCCTGACCGCCCCTCATCCAGGGGTACCCCGACCTTTTAGGACTATGACATGCCCTGAACACCGGGGATGTGGGGTGCCCCAATCCTTTAGGACTATGGGGTACTCTAAACATGACAGCCATGGGGTGCCCTGACCCTTTAGGACTATAGGGTGCCCAGAACATGACGGCCGGAGGGTACCCCAACCTTTTAGGGCTGCGGGACACACTGACTTCTTAAGACTACAGCTCGGCCTACAGGAGTCCAGGGGACGCCAGGCCTATGTGGGGAGGGGGCAGAGGCAGAAAAGCGATGGGGGAGGTGCGGGGCATCGGCTGTCCCTGCCCTGAAGGGAGGGATGGGGCCGCCAGGTAGGCGTGCGGCCAGGACCACCCAAGGACTCAAGGGAGAGATGGGACGGGGAGAGGGGGAGGGGGGGACGGGGAGAGGGGGAGGGGGGGACGGGGAGAGGGGGAGGGGGGGACGGGGAGAGGGGGAGGGGGGGACGGGGAGAGGGGGAGGGGGGACGGGGGACGGGGGGAGGGGGGACGGGGGACGGGGGGAGGGGGAGGGGGGACGGGGAGGGGGGGAGGGGGGACGGGGAGGGGGGACGGGGAGGGGGGAGGGGGGAGGGGGGGCGGGGAGAGGGGAGGGGGGGCAGGGAGAGAGGAGGGGAACAGGACGGGGGGGCGGGGACAGGTGCCAAAACCAGGGTCACACGTGGAAGGCCAGGACCCTGGGTCAGGGCGGGGCGGGAAGACCCGGGGTCACACGTGGGGCGGCCTCCTGACTGCAGCGTGGCCTTCAGTCGCGCTGTCACCAGCCTGTGGGACCCCTGGGGTGCAGAGAGGGAGCCAAGCCTCAGGGGCCCGGCCCGGATGCCGCCGACTCCCACCCGCCAGCCTCGCCGAGAGCCCACTGACGTGATCACTCCACAGAGATCCCATCCCGGGGTTCCGGGGCCCGTGCAGGAGAAACGCAGGTGCAGGGCCTCGTGCCCACACCGCCGGCATCTGTGCTCCACAACCAAACTCCTAGAGCCGTCATCATCCCTGGGCTGCAGCGCCGGCCGGCGACGACTCCCCGACCACCTCGCTGGGGTCACATGTCCCCGTGGGTAGAAAATCCAGTGACGGATGTAGACAAAGAGCCCTCTGCACGCCTGGAAGCCCAGCGCCTTCGGAGGCCGAGGTGGGGGGATCACCTGAGCTCAGGAGTTTGAGACCAGCCTGGGCAACGTGGCAAAACCTCGTCTCTAGGAAAAATTTAACAATCAGACGGACACGGTGGTGCGCACCTGTGATCCCAGCTACTCGGGAGGCTGAGGCAGGAGAATGGCTTGAACCCGGGAGGCAGAGGTTGCAGTGAGCCGAGATCGCCCCATTGCACTCCAGCCTGGGGGACAGAGCGAGACCCTGTTTCAAAAAAAAACCATTTAGCCATTTGCATGATGAGGACCAAGAGAATAAAAATGAAATCTCAGCAACTCACTCTCCAATTCCTGTAGGAAAATGAAATGAGAAACATACGCATGTAAAGTATTTAGTATTTCCTGCAGTTTAAGAAATAGAATCCGGGGCCGGGGCGCGGTGGCTCACGCCTGTCATCCCAGCACTTTGGGAGGCCGAGGTGGGTGGATCACCTGAGGTCAGGAGTTCGAGACCAGCCTGGCCAACATGGTGAAATCCCGTCTCTACTAAAACTACAAATATTAGCTGGGTAGTGGTGGAGCATGCCTGTAATTCTAGCTTCTCAGGAGGCTGAGGCAGTAGAATCACTTGAACCTGGGAGGCAGAGGTTGCAGTGAGCCAAGATCGTGCCATTGCACTCCAGCCTGGGTGACAGAACAAGACTTCGTCTCAAAAAAAATAAATAAAAACAATGCTCATCTTTGTACGATCTAATTGTCAGTCATTTTTATTTCCTTCTGCGTTTGCTTTCAGGAGAACTTACCACCATTTTCCTGGCCACCGTCTTCCAAAACAGACGACGGCTTCACCATATCATGAAGAGATTTTCCTCTAACACACGAGAAAAACAAACTTGCAAACTGGTTATAAAACAGCCACCCCCTTGGCCGGGCGTGGTGGTGGACGCCTGTAATCCCAGCTACTCAGGAGACTGAGGCAGGAGAATAGCTTGAACCCGGGAGGCGGAGGTTGTAGTGAGCCAAGGTTGTGCCATTGCACTCCGGCCTGGGCAACAAGAGCAAAACTCCGTCTCAAAAAAACAAAACAAAACAAAACAAAAAACAAACTTGCAAACCTATTATAAAACAGCAACCCCCTGGCTGGGCACGGGGGCTCACGCCTGTAATCCCAGCACTTTGGGAGGCCGAGGCGGGTGGATCACCTGAGTTCGGGAGTTTGAGACCAGCCTGGCCAGCACGGAAAAACCCCTATCTCTACTAAAAATACAAAATTAACCAGGCATGGTGGCAGGTGCCTGTAATCCCAGCTACTCGAGAGGCTGAGGCAGGAGAATCCCTTGAAACCGGGAGGCAGAGGCTGCAGTGAGCCGAGATCTTGCCATTGCACTCCAGCCTGGGGAACAAGAGCAAAACTCCACCTCAAAAAAAAAGAAAAACAAAAACAAAAACAAACTTGCAAACCTGTTATAAAACAGCCACCCCCTTGGCCTGACGTCGTGCCTCACGCCTGTAATCCCAGCACTTTGGGAGGCTGAGGCAGGCGGATCCCTTGAGCTCAGGATTTTGAGACCAGCCTGGCCAACGTGGTAAAACGCTGTCTCTACCAAAAATACAAAAGTTAGCCAGGTGTGGTGGTGCATGTTTGTAATCCAAGCTAGCTGGAGGGCTGGGGCAGAAGGATCACTTGAACCTGGAAGGCAGAGTTTGCAGTGAGCCGAGATCGCGCCACTACACTCCAGCCTGGGCGAGCGAGCGACACTCTGTCTCAAAAAAACAGACAACGGTCACTCCCAACCAACTCACATTAAACCCTTCTCTCAAGGGCTATGGATAAACAGTTTGAATTTTAAGAACACAGGCTGCCATGAGACATTTTAAATGTTTTTGTCAGCAAAGGGCAGAAAGTTATAAAACTCAATGACAGGAAATTGCAAACATATAAGATTATAGTAGGTAAAATATCAACCCAATCTTTTTTTTTTTTTTGAGACAGAGTCTGGCTCTGTCACCCAGGCTGGAGTGCAGTGCTGCAATCTCAGCTCACTGCAAGCTCCGCCTCCTGGGTTCACGCCATTCTCCCGCCTCAGCCTCCTGAGCAGCTGGGACTACAGGCACCTTCCACCACACCCAGCTAATTTTTTGTATTTTTAGTAGAGACGGGGTTTCACCGAATTAGCCAGGATGGTCTCGATCTCCTGACCTCGTGATCCACCCACCTCAGCCTCCCAAAGTGCTGGGATGACAGGCGTGAGCCACCACGCCCGGTTTTTTTTTTTTTTTAACACTTGTGAAGGTGCACAGGTAAATGATCAGATTTTTTTTTTTTAAGATGGATCCTCGCCCTGTCACCCAGGCTGGAGTACAGCAGCATGGTCTCAGCTCACTGCAACCTCTGCCTCCCGGGTTCAAGCAATTCTCCCACCTCAGCCTCCAGAGCAGCTGGGATTACAGGCACCTGCCACAACGCCCCGCTAATTTTTTGTATTTTTAGTAGAGACAGGTTCTCACTATGTTGGCCAGGTTGGTCTCGAACTCCTGACCTCAGGTGATCCACCTACCTCGGCCTCCCAAAGTGCTGGGATGACAGGCATGAGCCACCGTGCCCAGCGTAGATTTATTGGATTGTAAAATGCACAATTCTCTGTGTCTGGGTGTTTCTGAAACCAAGGTCATCTCACCATCCACAGGAATCTTTAATAGCTTTTTCCCCCCAACAGTTATTACCATCCATGGTATATGAAAGTCAAGAAAACAGGAAACTCTCAAAACCAAGTTCCGAAAGCCCTGGTGCTTCTGCTAAGCTGGCTGCGGCCTCCTGTGTGTTTCGAATACCAGCCACACTGTGGCAGCCGCATCTCACCAGGCAGGCCTCCATAACGGCTTCAGTACCGACTGAGTGGCAAAGTTACATATAAAAACCTGAAAGAGGCCGGGCGCGGTGGCTCACGCCTGTCATCCCAGCACTTTGGGAGGCCGAGGTGGGCGGATCACCTGAGGTCGGGAGTTCAAGACCAGCCTGACCAACATGGAGAAACCCCGTCTCTACTAAAAATACAGAATTTAGCCAGGCATGGTGGCAGCTGCCTGTAATCCCAGCTACTCGGGAGGCTGAGGCAGGAGAATCACTTGAACCCGGGAACCCGGGAGGCGGAGGTTTCCGTGAGCTGAGATCGTACCACTACAGTCCAGCCTGGGTGACAGAGCGAGACTCTGTTTCAAAAAAAAAAAAAAGAAAAAAAAAAAATTGTTACAGAGAAGAGGGTCTCGCTATGCTGGCCAGGCTGGTCTCGAACCCCTGGGCTGAGGCAACCCTCCTGCGCTGGTATCCCACAGTGCTGGGATGACAGGCCTGAGCCACCGCCCCCGGCCATCTATGGCTTTTTATCTCCAACGTGAGGCAAGGAAGAGGCACAGCTCAGGAGCGAGCTGAGTCGACGGCAGATGGCGCCCAGGTCCCGAGCCAGCTGTGTCTGCAATGCGGCCACCTGCACGTCCCCTCTCATCCCAGAGCTCACCCTCCGGAGCCATCATCCCCCCAACACGCAGGGCTCACCCTCCAAAGGGCCCCTGGCGGGGTCAGGGCCTGCGTGGTGGTCCGTGGACTCGCTTACCGACCCTCCTTCTGCGCGGCCTCCTGAAGCCCTTGGATGGCTCGGATGGCACGGGGACCAGGTACTAAAGGATAATCATGGCTACACACACGTCCCTGAGCTCACCACCTGAGGACGCCCTCATTCCGTCTCTATGAACAGGGCAGACGGAACCCAGGAGCCCAGGAGATTGACGGCCACACACACACACACACACACACACACACACACACACACCGTCCCTGAGCTCACCACCTGGGGACGCCCTCATTCCATCTCTATGAACAGGGCAGACGGAACCCAGGAGCCCAGGAGACTGACGGCTACACACACACACACACACACACACACACACACACACGTCCCTGAGCTCACCACCTGGGGACGCCCTCATTCTGTCTCTATGAACAGGGCAGACGGAACCCAGGAGCCCAGGAGATTGACGGCTACACACACACACACACACACACACACACACGTCCCTGAGCTCACCACCTGGGGACGCCCTCATTCCATCTCTATGAACAGGGCAGACGGAACCCAGGAGCCCAGGAGACTGACGGCTACACACACACACACACACACACACACACACACACACACACGTCCCTGAGCTCACCACCTGGGGACGCCCTCATTCTGTCTCTATGAACAGGGCAGACGGAACCCAGGAGCCCAGGAGATTGACGGCTACACACACACACACACACACACACACACACGTCCCTGAGCTCACCACCTGGGGACGCCCTCATTCTGTCTCCATGAACAGGGCAGACGGAACCCAGGAGCCCAGGAGATTGACGGCTACACACACACACACACACACGTCCCTGAGCTCACCACCTGGGGACGCCCTCATTCTGTCTCTATGAACAGGGCAGACGGAACCCAGGAGCCCAGGAGATTGACGGCTACACACACACACACACACACACACACACACACACATGTCCCTGAGCTCACCACCTGGGGACGCCCTCATTCTGTCTCTATGAACAGGGCAGACGGAACCCAGGAGCCCAGGAGATTGACGGCTACACACACACACACACACACACACACACACACACACGTCCCTGAGCTCACCACCTGGGGACGCCCTCATTCCATCTCTATGAACAGGGCAGACGGAACCCAGGAGCCCAGGAGATTGACGGCTACACACACACACACACACACACACACACAACGTCCCTGAGCTCACCACCTGGGGACGCCCTCATTCCATCTCTATGAACAGGGCAGACGGAACCCAGGAGCCCAGGAGATTGACGGCTACACACACACACACACAACGTCCCTGAGCTCACCACCTGGGGACGCCCTCATTCCATCTCTATGAACAGGGCAGACGGAACCCAGGAGCCCAGGAGATTGACGGCTACACACACACACACACACACACACACACACACACACACAACGTCCCTGAGATCACCTGGGGACGCCCTCATTCTGTCTCTATGAACAGGGCAGACGGAACCCAGGAGCCCAGGAGATTGACGGCTACACACACACACACACACACACACACACACACACACGTCCCTGAGCTCACCACCTGCGGACGCCCTCATTCCATCTCTATGAACAGGGCAGACGGAACCCAGGAGCCCAGGAGACTGACGGCTACACACACACACACACACACACACACACACACACACACACACAACGTCCCTGAGCTCACCACCTGGGGACGCCCTCATTCCATCTCTATGAACAGGGCAGACGGAACCCAGGAGCCCAGGAGACTGACGGCTAAACACACACACACACACACACACACACACACGTCCCTGAGCTCACCACCTGGGGACGCCCTCATTCCATCTCTATGAACAGGGCAGACGGAACCCAGGAGCCCAGGAGACTGACGGCTACACACACACACACACACACACACACACACACGTCCCTGAGCTCACCACCTGGGGACGCCCTCATTCCATCTCTATGAACAGGGCAGACGGAACCCAGGAGCCCAGGAGACTGACGGCTACACACACACACACACACACACACACACACACACACGTCCCTGAGCTCACCACCTGGGGACGCCCTCATTCCATCTCTATGAACAGGGCAGACGGAACCCAGGAGCCCAGGAGACTGACGGCTACACACACACACACACACACACACACACACACACACGTCCCTGAGCTCACCACCTGGGGACGCCCTCATTCCATCTCTATGAACAGGGCAGACGGAACCCAGGAGCCCAGGAGATTGACGGCTACACACACACACACACACACACACACACACACACACACACACCGTCCCTGAGCTCACCACCTGGGGACGCCCTCATTCCGTCTCTAAGAACAGGGCAGACGGAACCCAGGAGCCCAGGAGATTGACGGCTACACACACACACACACACACACACACACACACACACCGTCCCTGAGCTCACCACCTGGGGACGCCCTCATTCCGTCTCTATGAACAGGGCAGACGGAACCCAGGAGCCCAGGAGATTGACGGCTACACACACACACACACACACACACACACGTCCCTGAGCTCACCACCTGGGGACGCCCTCATTCCATCTCTATGAACAGGGCAGACGGAACCCAGGAGCCCAGGAGACTGACGGCTACACACACACACACACACACACACACACAAACGTCCCTGAGCTCACCACCTGGGGACGCCCTCATTCCATCTCTATGAACAGGGCAGACGGAACCCAGGAGCCCAGGAGACTGACGGCTACACACACACACACACACACACACACATCCCTGAGCTCACCACCTGGGGACGCCCTCATTCCATCTCTATGAACAGGGCAGACGGAACCCAGGAGCCCAGGAGACTGACGGCTACACACACACACACACACACACACACACACACACACACACACGTCCCTGAGCTCACCACCTGGGGACGCCCTCATTCCGTCTCTCAGTCTATTAACAGGGAAGACTGAGCCTGGGAGACTGTCGGCTACACACACACACCCAAGCTCACCACCTGGGGACACCCAATGCTCCTCCCCCAGCACCTTCGAAGCTCTCATTCCGTCTCTCAGTCTATTAACAGGGAAGACGGAGCCCGGGAGAGGCCTCCGTCCCGCGCTGCCCCGGCGAATCTGGGTCCCGATTCTGAGTTCAGTGGTGTTAGAAATAATAGGGTATGTGCCCCCTTAAGGGTGAATATAGCTAACCCCATTTACCCAGGCTGTGCACGTCACAATTCCACTCGTGGTGTAGCTGGGACCACAGGCACCCACACACCACACCCGGCTAATTTTTAAATTTTTTTTTTGTAGATATGGGTTCTTACCATGTTGCCCATGCTGGTGTCAAACTCCTGGGCTCAAGCGATCCTCCCACCTCAGCCTCCCGAGTAGCTGGGACCACAGAAGGTCCATCCCACACCCCCACCCCACCGTCAAGCTCTCGCTTTATGGCCCAGGCTGGAGTGCAGTGGTACAATCTCAGCTCACTGCAACCTCCACCTCCCAGGTTCAAGCAATTCTCCTACCTCAGCCTCTGGAGTAGCTGGGACTACAGGTGTGTGCCACCACGCCCGGCTAATTTTTGCACATTTAGTAGAGTCAGTGTTTCTCCATGTTGGCCAGGCTGGTCTCAAATGCCTGACCTCAGGTGATCCACCCACCTCGGCCTCCCAAAGTGCTGGAATGACAGGCGTGAGCCACCGTGCCTGATCTCAGACACCTTTTGGTGCTTCTTGTTTGAGATGGGGTCTCACTCTGTCACCCAGGCTGGAGCACAGTGCTGCAATCTAAGCTCACTGCAGCCTCCACCTCCTGGGCTCAGGTAATCCTCCCACCTCAGCGTCCCGAGCAGCTGGGACCACAGGCACCCACCACCACACCAGGCTAATTTTTCTTTCTTTTTTTTTTTTTTTTTTTTTTGTAGATAATGGGGTCTTACCATATTGCCCATGCTGGTGTCAAACTCCTGGGCTCAAGCAATCCTCCCACCTCAGCGTCCCGAGCAGCTGGGACCACAGGCACCCACCACCACGCCCGGCTAATTTTTTTCTTTTTTTTTTTTTTTTTTGTAGATAATGGGGTCTTACCATATTGCCCATGCTGGCGTCAAACTCCTGGGCTCAAGCAATCCTCCCACCTCAGCGTCCCGAGCAGCTGGGACCACAGGCACCCACCACCACACCAGGCTAATTTTTCTTTCTTTTTTTTTTTTTTTTTTTTTTGGAGATAATAGGGTCTTACCATATTGCCCATGCTGGCGTCAAACTCCTGGGCTCAAGCAATCCTCCCACCTCAGCGTCCCGAGCAGCTGGGACCACAGGCACCCACCACCACACCAGGCTAATTTTTCTTTCTTTTTTTTTTTTTTTTTTTTTTTGTAGATAATAGGGTCTTACCATATTGCCCATGCTGGCGTCAAACTCCTGGGCTCAAGCAATCCTCCCACCTCAGCGTCCCGAGCAGCTGGGACCACAGGAACCCACCACCACGCCCGGCTTTTCTTTTTTTTTTTTTTTTTTGTAGATAATGGGGTCTTACCATATTGCCCATGCTGGTGTCAAACTCCTGGGCTCAAGCAATCCTCCCACCTCAGCGTCCCGAGCAGCTGGGACCACAGGCACCCACCACCACGCCCGGCTAATTTTTCTTTTCTTTTTTTTTTTTTTTTTTGTAGATAATGGGGTCTTACCATATTGCCCATGCTGGCGTCAAACTCCTGGGCTCAAGCAATCCTCCCACCTCAGCGTCCCGAGCAGCTGGGACCACAGGCACCCACCACCACACCAGGCTAATTTTTCTTTCTTTTTTTTTTTTTTTTTTTTTTTGTAGATAATAGGGTCTTACCATATTGCCCATGCTGGCGTCAAACTCCTGGGCTCAAGCAATCCTCCCACCTCAGCGTCCCGAGCAGCTGGGACCACAGGCACCCACCACCACGCCCGGCTTTTCTTTTTTTTTTTTTTTTTTGTAGATAATGGGGTCTTACCATATTGCCCATGCTGGTGTCAAACTCCTGGGCTCAAGCAATCCTCCCACCTCAGCGTCCCGAGCAGCTGGGACCACAGGCACCCACCACCACGCCCGGCTAATTTTTCTTTCTTTTTTTTTTTTTTTTTTTTTTTGTAGATAATAGGGTCTTACCATATTGCCCATGCTGGCGTCAAACTCCTGGGCTCAAGCAATCCTCCCACCTCAGCGTCCCGAGCAGCTGGGACCACAGGCACCCACCACCACACCAGGCTAATTTTTCTTTCTTTTTTTTTTTTTTTTTTTTTTTTTTGTAGATAATAGGGTCTTACCATATTGCCCATGCTGGTGTCAAACTCCTGGGCTCAAGCAATCCTCCCACCTCAGCGTCCCGAGCAGCTGGGACCACAGGCACCCACCACCACGCCCGGCTTTTTTTTTTTTTTTTTGTAGATAATGGGGTCTTACCATATTGCCCATGCTGGTGTCAAACTCCTGGGCTCAAGCAATCCTCCCACCTCAGCGTCCCGAGCAGCTGGGACCACAGGTACCCACCACCACGCCCGGCTTTTCTTTTTTTTTTTTTTTTTGTAGATAATGGGGTCTTACCATATTGCCCATGCTGGTGTCAAACTCCTGGGCTCAAGCAATCCTCCCACCTCAGCGTCCCGAGCAGCTGGGACCACAGGCACCCACCACCACGCCCGGCTAATTTTTCTTTTCTTTTCTTTTTTTTTTTTTGTAGATAATGGGGTCTTACCATATTGCCCATGCTGGTGTCAAACTCCTGGGCTCAAGCAATCCTCCCACCTCAGCGTCCCGAGCAGCTGGGACCACAGGCACCCACCACCACGCCCGGCTAATTTTTCTTTTCTTTCTTTTTTTTTTTTTTTGTAGATAATGGGGTCTTACCATATTGCCCATGCTGGTGTCAAACTCCTGGGCTCAAGCAATCCTCCCACCTCAGCGTCCCGAGCAGCTGGGACCACAGGCACCCACCACCACGCCCGGCTTTTCTTTTTTTTTTTTTTTTGTAGATAATGGGGTCTTACCATATTGCCCATGCTGGTGTCAAACTCCTGGGCTCAAGCAATCCTCCCACCTCAGCGTCCCGAGCAGCTGGGACCACAGGCACCCACCACCACGCCCGGCTTTTCTTTTTTTTTTTTTTTTTGTAGATAATGGGGTCTTACCATATTGCCCATGCTGGTGTCAAACTCCTGGGCTCAAGCAATCCTCCCACCTCAGCGTCCCGAGCAGCTGGGACCACAGGCACCCACCACCACGCCCGGCTAATTTTTCTTTTCTTTTTTTTTTTTTTTTTTTTGTAGATAATGGGGTCTTACCATATTGCCCATGCTGGTGTCAAACTCCTGGGCTCAAGCAATCCTCCCACCTCAGCGTCCCGAGTAGCTGGGACCACAGGCACCCACCACCATGCCACACTAAAATTTTTTTTTTGGGGGGGAGGGTAGAGAAGGGGTCTTACCATGTTGCCCAGGCTGGTGTCAAACTCCTGGGCTCAAGCGATCCTCCCACCTCAGCCTCCCGAGATGTAAACGGTGGCTACATTTCCGCACAATCCCCGCGGTCTCCCTCATTCTGTTTTACAACTACTCCCACATAAAGTAACGTAGAAAGACGAGCCCCGTTATTCCCTTAGAAGGTAGACTGGAGCTTGCAGGAAGCTGTAGGATAAACATTCAGAGGCCAACTGAGATAAAACGAAACACCCAGGTGATTTTAAGCTAATCAAGAGCCCCTTTCACGTGGGTGATTTTAAACTAATCAAGAGCCTCTTTCACGCAGGTGATTTTAAACTAATCACGTTCTCCCTTCACAGAACTAAAAAGGGAGGTTAATTTACACAAACGCGCAGGCTACAGCCACCCGTCCTGCCTAGGGACTTCGGGCCAAAAATGCCACCTGTCACACCTCCAATCCAGGCGCTGCAGGGCTGTTAGGAGGGGAATTAGCAGCTGGGATACCCCGATCCTACAAGGAGGGGGGTTAGCAACCCCTCCTGAAATACCAAAAAGGCCTCGGCTTCCTGCAGACGCTTAAGGAACATGCCAATCACAACCGATTTCCTGAAAAACGCAAGAAATCCTGGTGAGGGCTGGGGTTGCAGGACGCTCTGCACACCACGGGTAACAGTTTTGGGGTAGCTTCTCTGAGACCGGCTGCCTCTTACTGTCCCCTGGACCAGGGGGGCGCCGCTCTCATCCTCCTGGCATCTCCCAGGCCCCTGCCCCACTCAGAGCTCCACCGCAGGGGCTCCCGAGGCTGGACTCAGACCCGCTGGATCCCATCCAGGCCCCCAAGGCAGCAGTGGAGACCCTCAAGGCTGGACTCCAGCCCCTAATGTAGACTCAGGGACCCCTGGGATGGATGGGTTCGAACCCCCAAAGCTGACTTCAGGACCCTCAGAGCTGGACTCCACCCTCCAAGGCAGCATTCGGGACCCTCACGGCTGGACTCGAGGCCCACGGCAGACATGAAGACCCCTGGGAGGCGTCCGGGACCCCCAGGACTGAATTTGAGGCCCCCAGGCAGACGTGGGGGCCCCTGGGCGGTGGTCAGGACGCCTGGGGCTGGACCCAACCCCCAAGGCAGACGAGGAGAACCCCCGGGCGGCATCCGGGCCCCCCAGGGCTGGACTCAAGCCCCCAAGGCTAGACGTGGGGACCCACCTGGGCGGCGACCGGGACCCCCAGAGCAGGTCTCAAGCCCCAAAGGCAGACGTGGGGGCTCCTCGGCGACGTCCGGGACCCCCAGGGCTGGACTCAAGCCCCCAAGGCTAGACACGGTGACTCCGGGGTGGCGTCCGAGACTCCCACGGGGGAACTCCAGTCTCCAAGGTAGACGTGAGGACCCCCGGGCGGCATCGGGGACCCCCAGGGCGGGACTCGAGCCCCCAAGGCAGACGCGGGGATGCCGAGGCGGCGTCCAGGACCCCCAGGGCGGGACTCGGGCCCCCAAGGCAGACGCGGGGACGCCAAGGCGGCGTCCAGGACCCCCATGGCTGGACTCGAGCCCCCAAAGCAGACATGGGGACCCCCTGGGTGGCGTCCGGGACCCTGAGAGCTGGACTCGAGCCCCCAGGGCAGACGTGGGGACTCCTGGGCGGCTTCCGGGGCCCCCACGGCGGCTCTCCAGGTTCCAGGACAGACGTGGAGACCCCTGGGCGACGTCACGGACGCCCAGGGCGGGACTCGAGCCCCCAAGGCAGACGTAGGGACCCCTGGGCGCCGTTCTCGATCCCCGGGGCTGGAGTCAAGCCCCCGAGGCGGCGTTCCGGACTCTC